>NC_000012.12:44278309-44429824 GCF_000001405.40 Homo sapiens
AGTACTAGTATCTGGGGCAAGCAACATAGGTTTTTGAGGCTATCTGAATATCTGTCTTACAGTCTTCTATTCTCAAACAAGCTTTCTTTCCAAATTCCCTGTTTCTGTAAGTGTCATCCAAGTTTAGTAATAAGTTTCATTAACTTTCCTTTCAAACATATTTTATATTTGTTCTTTATATCATTGCTATTTAGCTGTAAGCATGCCATACATATATTACTGCAGCAGTCTACTTTCTGCTGTTCCTCAATGTGAGCTCTCTCTTCCCTCCGTGACAGAATCCATCCTGAAAAGCAATGATGTTAAAGAATATTATACTACTTAAAAATCAATCAATGGGATCTCTTTTCTGTAACATTAAAATAAGTCTTCATTGAACAATTTTAAGAATTTAAGAATTTTAAGTCCATCAGAAATATGGTTTTGCCCATAAATATCTAACCTTATTTTGCTTGGATAAGCATGGATCTAAACCCAGTCCATATCCCCTATCCTTTTTCTTGTCTAGGCAGATGTATCCACTTCCTCACAACACAATGGTGTTAATTCCTGCTAATTTTATCCCTAGATATCACATGATCCTTTCTCTTGATTTTATTTGCTCTTTCTTCAAGGCAATGGATAATTTTAGTGCCTTCTTGAGACTTTCCTTTATTCTTCATTACAGTTAGAAGTACATGATAGTCTTCTCTACCTAATTAAATTATAGCCCATTTTCCAAATTATGTTATAAAGTGCTTGAGAGTAGATATATTTGTATCTTATAATTTTGTGCCTATATATAATTGTTCCTCAAAATATTAATGCCAACTACTTTCTCTTAATAAGGAAATGATAAAGTCAAAGTCAAAAGCTATGACTGAGAAATATGTTTCTACAAAGTGGAATGACTTGATATTAGGTAGCATTTTAATATGCCTGGATGAGCTTTGAATGCCCTTCTCCATTCATGAACATAATGGAAAATTAAAGTACTAAATACCTTTGCCTCCGATGTTTGGGTAAACGCTAATAAAGTTGTCAATTACTTGGCCAGTTGCAGCCAAATTGTTTTAAATAAATTATCCAAATAATGTTTTTTTCTCTTCACCCTTACCAAGAGAGACCCTGGGAGCAGAACACAAATTAAGCCCATATCTGAATTTACAAGGAAAATATCTGAAACTATATTTACATCCAAGTTTGCAATTTTCTTTTCTTTTCTTCTTTTTTTTTTTTTTTTGAGATGGAGTCTTGCTCTGTTGCACAGGCTGTAGTACAGTGGCATAATCTCGGCTCACTGCAACCTCCGCATCCCAGGTTCAAGCCATTCTCCTGCCTCAGCCTCCTGAGAAGCTGAGATTACAGGCGCATGCCACCACGCCCGCCTAATTTTTTGTATTTTAGTAGAAACGGGGTTTCACTGTGTTGCCCAGGCTGGTCTTGAACTCCTGGGCTCAGGTGATCCGCCCACCCTGGCCTCCCAAAGTGCTGGGATTACAGGCGTGAGCCAGCGCACCCGGCCTACAATTTTCAAAGCAATCTCGTGTTGAAGAAGGAAATGTCTTCAACAGTGGTCCATCTTCAGTCTTTATCCTATGAAACCTCTATGTGGTTTTTGGAGTTTTGGGCCACTAGTTTGTTCCTGAAATTCTCTCCTTCCCTAGATTTTTACTGGTTTTCTCTGGATTTCTTAAGCTATCTCTGGCTACACCTTACTAGTCTCAATCTGTCTCTGAATACACCATAAAAAGCAGTAATATTCAAGATTCTATTTTTGTTTTTCCCTATATATACTTTTTATTTTTATTTTTTTTACCTGAAAAAATTCATTCATCGCTGTGACTTTAACTTTCATTTGAAAGATTCAAAATTCAGGCCCTGACCTTTTCTTGGTCTAGATTCCTATCTCCAGCTGACTGTTGTTAATCCCTGTATAGATGTCCTGCCAGTTCATAAATTTAACAATCAGTGCAAAACCAAATTCATATTTCATTTCTATTTCCTTTCCTATTTCTCAGTTGAGTTAATTGTTTCACAGTTCTTTTATTCACATAGTCTAGAAACTGTGGAAATATCTGCCATTCTTCTCCCATGTTTTACTACCCACCCGCTACAATTTCAGCATTTCCTTTCAAATTTGTCTTCCTGCCTGCAGTATCCTTTCTACTGTGGAAATTTACTCATCTTTTAGGTCCAATTTAATCAGAACTCTCAGCCACCCCTCATACATGGATAAAAATCAATCAGATATTCTTAGAAACTTCTATAGCATCTTTTTTTTTTCCTGAGGTATGATTATTTGTGTACATATTGGCATCCTTCAATTGGCAGCAAGTTACTTAAGGGCAGAGGTCATTCCCATGTCTCTATATTTTAGCTCTGTGTCTTTATCATGGTGGTTGCTCAAAAAATGTTTCCTGAATTCTCTGTGCCCTTGCCTACATGACAATATAACTTTCAAATTCAAAAAGCAATCCTATTTTCCAATCTTTTACATTACCTGAAGTAACATTTTCGGTTAAGGGAATTTCTAAATTCTGATGAAATTATACTTTTTATATAGCTTTAAAATTCCCCACTGAGTTTACCAAACAAGGTTGATGATTTGCCTTTAAAATGCCGACAATCAATTCTTAATTCAGTCAAACTGATGAGTGGGTCCCCCAATCACAAGTGCTGTCATGCATTTTCCTTATTTTTGAGTGAAGTATGGTTGTTTTCCCAGTTTTTCCTGAATTAGTCTTAAATAAGTCAGCATCTTCACAAGTTCCCAAGAGAAATTAAGTATATTGCTACAGTAATAAAGCATTAGATGCTTTAAAAAATCTTTCCCCTTAGAATTTAAGAGTGAAATATCTTACATGAATCCTAATATTAATTTTTTGATCTTTCATTGTGACATGACATTACATCCTTTAAATATTTACGTATAATTTCAGGTAATTTTTGTGTTACTTTTATTTTATAGTTTTCTTTCACAACAGAAAATTATTTTATGTTTATAATATCTGCCTTCCTAGCCATTATGTCATGCGGCCCTTATCATGGAAAACATTGTCTCTTTTAGGGGTACTTTTGGGGCGTTATCAAAATATGTTTCTTGGTGGAAAGTCTCATGATGATATATCCTCTTCAAGAGATGTTTGAGATGCAACTCAGACATACTCTTGTTCTTAGCCTTGATTTATGTAAACACTTTGTCTTCATCAAAGTCACAAAATTTTATCAGAACCTTATTTTTAACCCAGTATATAAATTCATCCTATTTAGAAATCAAATAAAACATGCTTTTGTCCTGTTCACTGCCATTTGACAGCATCCCACTTTTTCTTTTCTTTTTTAAAAGTACTTTTAACAACAGGTAAAAGATGCAACTTGATACAGTTAGTTAAGAAAATTCTACTTTGTATTTTTAAAAGCTGAGACAATGTTTGGAGTACTGTAGGTATCATTTTATTTTCACTACATGAATAATAATGGATATAGTTCTTCCTGGCATTGTCTGTATTAATGGGCATTAATCTATTGCCATATCTTTATTATGACTTTCTTTACCAATCTTGCAGTAATATTTTATGCCTGGGGTAATGATTAATAGATAATATTTTGTGTATTTCTGTTATGATTTGGCTGTGTCCCCACCCAAATGTCAACTTGAGTTGTAGCTCCTAGAATTCCCACGTGTTGTAGGAGGGATCCAAGGGGAGGTAATTGAATCACGGGGGCTGGTCTTTCCCTTGCTATTCTCATCACAGTGAATAAGTCTCACAAGAACTGATGGGTTTATCAGGGGTTTCCACTTTTGCTTCTTTCTCATTTTTCTCTTGTTGCCACCATGTAAGAAGTGCCTTTCGCCTCCCACCATGATTCTGAGGCCTCCCTAGCCACGTGGAACTGTAAGTCCAATTAAACATCTTTTTCTTCCCCGTCTCAGGTATGTCAGTGTCAGACTAATACAGTAAATTGGTACCATTAGAGTGGGACGTTGCTGAAAAGATACCCAAAAATGTGGAAATGACTTTGGAACTGGGTAACAGGCAGAGGTTGGAACAGTTTGGAGGGCCCAGGAGAAGACAGGAAAATATGGGAAAGTTTGGAACTTCTTAGCGACTTACTGAATGGCTTTGCCCAAAATGCTGATAGCGATATGGACCATAAGGTCCAGGTGGAGGTGAGGAACTTGTTGGGAACTGGAGTAAAGGTGACTCTTGTTATGTTTTAGCAAAGAGACTAACGTCATTTTGCCCCTGCCCTAGAGATCTGTGGAACTTTAAACTTGAGAAAGATTATTTAGGGTATCTGCAGAAGAAATTTCTAAGCAGCAAAGCATTCAAGAGGTGACTTGTCATTCAGTTTTATAAGGGAAGCAGAGCATAAAAGTTTGGAATATTTGCAGCCTGACTATGTGACAGAAAAGAAAAGTCCATTTTCTGGGGAGAAATTCAAGCCAGCTGCAGAAATTTACATAAGTAGCATGGAGCCTAATGTGAATCCCCAAGACCACGTGTAAAATATCTCCAGGCTGTGTCAGAGACCTTCACAGCAGCATCCCCATCACAGGTCCGGAAGCCCAGGAGGAAAGTGGTTTCGTGGGCTGGGCCCAGGGTCCTCGTGCTGTGTGCAGCCTAGGGACTTGGTGCCCTGTGACCCAGCCACTCCAGCCATGGCTGAAAGAGGCCAATGTCCAGCTCAGGCTGTGGCTTCAGAGGGCGGAAGCCCCAAACTTTGGCAGCTCCCACGTGGTGTGGAGCCTGTGGGTACACAGAAGTCAAGAATTGAGGTTTGGGAAACTCCGCCTAGATTTCAGAAGATGTATGGAAATGCCTGGATTCCCAGGCAAAAGTTTGCTGCAGGGGCGAGGCCCTCATGGAGAACCTTTGCTAGGGCAGTGCAGAAGGGAAATGTGGGGTCAGAGCCTGCACACAGAGTCCCTACTGGGGCACTGCCTTGTAGAGCTGTGAGAAGAGGGCCACCGTCCTTCAGAACCCAGAATGGTAGACCCACCAAGAGCTTGCACCATGCACCTGGAAAAGCCACAAACACTGAACGCCAGCCCATGAAAGCAGCCAAGAGGGAGTCTGTCCACTGCAAAGTCACAGGGGCGGAGCTGCCCAAGACCATGGGAACCCACCTCTTGCATCAGCGTGACCTGATTTTGAGACTTGGAATCAAAGGAGATCATTCTGGAGCTTTAAAATTTGACTGCCCCACTGGATTTCAGACTTACATGGGCTCTGCAACCCCTCTGTTTTGGCCAATTTCTCCCATTTCAAACAGCTGTATTTACCCAATACCTGTACCCCCATTGTATCTAGGAAGTAACTAGCTTGCTTTTGATTTTACAGGCTCATAGACGGAAGGGACTTGCCTTGTCTCAGATGAGACTTTAGACTGTGGACTTTTGGGTTAATGCTGAAATGAGTTAAGACTTTGGGAGACTGTTGGGAAGGCGTGATTGGTTTTGAAATGTGAGGACATGAGATTTAGAGGAGCCACGGGCGGAATGATATGGTTTGGCTGTGTCCCTACCCAAATCTCAACTTGAATTGTAGCTCCTAGAATTCCCACGTGTTGCGGGAGAGACTCAGGGCTAGGTAATTGAATCATGGGGGCTGGTCTTTCCTGTGCTACTCTTAGGATAGGGTGAATATGTCTCACGAGATCTGATGTGTTTATCAGGGTTTCCACTTCTGTGTCTTTCTCATTTTTCTCTTGCTGGGGCCATGTAAGAAGTGCCTTTTGGCCGGGTGCGGTGGCTCACATCTGTAATCCCAGCACTTTGGGAGGCTGACGCGGGCAGACCATGAGGTCAAGAGATGGAGACCATCCTGGCCAACATGGTGAAACCCCATCTCTACTGAAAATACAAAAATTAGCTGGGCATGGTGGCGCAGCCTGTAGTCCCAGCTACTCAGGAGGCTGAGGCAGGAGACTTGCTTGAACCCGAGAGGTGGAGGTTTCAGTGAGCCGAGATCATGCCACTGCATTCCAGCCTGGTGACACAGCGAGACTCCGTCTCAAAAAAAAAACAACAAAAAAAGTGACTTTCACCTCCCACCATGATTCTGAAGCCTCCCCAGCCACGTGGAACTGTAAATCCAATTAAATCTCTTTTTCTTCCCAGTCTCGGGTATGTCTTTAGTAGCAGTGTGAAAACAGACTAATACAATTTCCCTCTGTTGAACTGGTGAACAATTTAGCATGTACCAGGTAATTCAGTAGTAAGAAAAATGGGGCTGGTGAGTTACTAAGAGACACACAGGATTAACATGCCCATTAGGTGCATCCAACCTAATTTTGCAATGCACAGGCCTCTTTGCTTTGTAAAGAGGAATGTACCATTATTTGCAGTAGCATCTCAGCTTGGTGGATGATAAAGGATGAACATTTTCCACCTCAGGTCAAATAGATGAATTTATTCATTCTACTAGTTATTAAGCAGCAGCAATGTAGCAGTCATTGGTAATCAATAATAAATGGCATAGGCCATCTCCTAATGGCTTTGCATTCTACTAGGTATTTTTTTTCTATTTTTTATTCTACACCCTAAAACTGTGAAACACAGAGAAACTAAAATGGTTCTTCCTAACCAAGATTAACTATGTTCTATACCAATAAGCTACTTTTAAGTGCCTCTCAGTAAACTAACATCCTTCAGATATAGGTAGAGGAATTCAAGCCACTACAATAAATACAATTATTTCAATCATCACTTTTTATATGGAGATTGCCAATGTGCAGGATCCAACATAGTTGCAGTGGCTGGGCACTGCAGAACTCCAGGGGACTTTATTTACGTAGATTAGGATGCTGGCACACTGTTCACATACATTACAATCTGAGTGACCAAATGCTCCAACCCAGACGTATTTTTTTCAGCCACCTCTTTTATGGCCTGTCAAGAACAAGCATTACCAAGTTGTTCCTTCATTTTATTTTGTTTACACTTTTGAGGTGCTGCTGTGCTCAGGGTTCTTTTCTTGTTGAAGTAAAGAGATATACAAAGATAAATAACACGTAAATGTGTACTTTAATGGACAACATTAGAGTCTAGTAATTTCCTTTACAGACTCCAGATCTCAATGGAGCCACAAACAAGATAAGTTCATAACTGCATCTCCGTTCTCAAGGATGCTATCTTAACAAATGTGTTCAGATTGGCCAAAAAACAGCAGCAGCATTTACTTACTGAAAGCCATATGGAGAAGCTGTACTCTTTCACTAGGTCACTTGGCAAACATTACCTTTGTGCTCCCTCGACATTTCCTGATCTCAAGAGTAGGAAACCAGAAGAGAACCAAATCACTTCCTTCCCTACTTCCTAAAGAGCAACGTTGACCTCATCAGCTGGGCTTCAGGGTTCAGTAAACCCACATATTTCAGGATAAACTGGCTTGAGTACATGAGTGGTGATTGCTTTTGTTACAGAGTTGAGGTGACAATATTGATCATTAAAACAAGGAAAATGAAAAGTGTTGGCATTCTTTCATGGCCATCTGTGACTTCAGTGTGCTGGTACTTAGTGTTCACAGGCAACTGAATGTTTGAACTGGTTCTTGGTTTTGCAGTGAAAAATGAAGGAAAGCATTCTTCTGCTTTTGCCTGTTTATTTTTTTCTCATGAACAACATGGTTAGAAATTATGACATTTAATTGTTTTAAATTCCATTGTCATGCCATATTTTGTTTCATGTATTTAGCATTTTCATATGTGACACTATATCATAATTTAATTGTAAATTTAAGTTTGCTATCCCACTTCACTTTAAACCTTTCTATTTAATAAGATTCACAGATTTTTATTTTTCTGTAAGAAACTGATACATTATTTGACTTTTTTGGTTGCATTCCAACATTTTAACATTAGTATTATAAAAAGAAATCAAAGTTATTTTTATTTCCTTTAAGATTTTATAATAACTGTGCAGCATGAACATAAGGAATATGATATTCATGACTGGAATCAAAGATTATAAACATTTAGAACATGAATAATAGTTAATGTATTAAAACAGTTTTATATATATAATATATATAAACATAATAAATATGTTTTATTGTGTTGAATCACATGAAGTTTCTATTTTTGATAGAAAAAAATCGTCAAATTTTGGCAATCAGCTTATATTAGGTAATTCTGCACATTTTTGCTACCAGTTTAATGAAAATTAAATTGCATGATAGTTAACCACCATAAATGAGTCAGCCCTTTGTGGATTGTCTAAACCTAATACCACTTCCTCTCTCTTTTGATTTAATGACTGCTTTCAGGCTGACTACTCAAGAAGTCTATCTTAAGTGGTAATGAATGAAAGAAAACAATATCCATAAATTTAGATACCTAAAGTAAAAGTTCCGTATTTTATAAAACCCAGGAGTTAGAATAAAGGAGCAGTTAAGACTATGAATTAAATCTTGTTTTGGGAGATTATCTGGATTTATTTACATGTGCTACTATGTCTCTAATCCCATATATAATAAACAATTGAGTAGGCTCTAAAATGCATGTTTCCAACAAATGATATCAAGATGATATTATATTTTTGAGAATTTGTGCAGCTTTTTAGCTGAACAGAAAAAAGGTGGTCTACTACAAAACTTGAACTCTACTACAAAGCAAATCCTTACTGTCAATAGATGTAAATTCTCATCAGTTCTGTCACTGGCAGCCTCTGTGACACAAGCAGGTGGCCTAACCTCTATGGAAGCAGTTTATTTGTTCACTTTACCGAGATCTTAGTGCACATATGCATTCACACTTTTTTAACAACAACTCTGTGATTCTCAGGAGCCCACCCCAGAGGTTAGGAACCATTGGATTATAAAAGCTCTGTTAACCCTTCTTAGTCTCACATTCTAATTTCTATTAACCTAAGAGGTATTAGCAACAATTGAGGAAAAGGAAATAGACTAACTGGAAATATGGAATCATTATAATGAAGATTCCAACCACTCAAGCTGATAATTATGTATGAGTTCTTTCCATTTGACTAGAGGCCAGAAACCAGAGAGGGTGGAATTGATGAGCCAGCGTGTCTTGCTGGCAGTGGCTGCAGCCTGAAAGGAAAGTAATCCAGATAATTATTTAATTGGATACTATTTAAAAAGAGAAGTAGAAACCCCCCAAGAAGTATGGTCCAGATTAAACATCTTTTCCACCATATTGGTTAAATAAAAACCCAAGGATGGTGCACTGATGGCCAACATCCATGAGGTTCCATTTTCACTGCCATGAAATTTCCTTTTAACTGTTCCCTGCTGTCCTTGACAGTCTCTGTCAGCTTTACTTTTCAATGTTAAGTACTTCTGGATGATGATTTTACAATAGTATGCTTATAATGAAAAATGAAAATGAATGAAATCCTAGCTACAAACATAATAACAGGAGGGTAATATTCAAGTGCTTCCTATGAAAGGCATTGCAGTGCAGTGCTTATGACAAAAACTGTCATGAGTCAGCCTGGACTTGAACCATCTTACATCATTTCTATCTTATATGTTACATAATTTATAAAATATGTGTTATAAGTTTGGTTTAGTTATTGAAACTTCCTGTGATTCAGTTTCAGCACTTTTAAACTGGGTGGGATGGTATTGGGGTAGTAGTAAACATTACATAAGTTAATTGGTGGTTAATTTGTATAAAGACTTTATGCCAGTGCTTGGCTTAAGTGCCATATGTCTGAAATAGTAATTTGCTATTATTACTATTTCCTGCATGGCAGTTTTACAGAAAAGTGACTCTTTTTATATGACCTAACTAACTGAGCCCTGGCTCTTTAAAAGTATTGGTTTTGGCTGAATTATCATAGCATGGTGAAGTCTATCAATTTTACAAGAAGTGGCTCAGAAAAACAAATGGCATGCAATACAATACATTTGCATCTGCAGTTATATCTACATAAGACGCTGAGCATAATTTTGGAGGTGATATGACCAATTAAAGTATTTTGCTCCCTCTTTTCTGTTTTCCATTCTCTTGAGATTTTATTTTTAGGTCTTTTTCTCTGAGCTGTATGCATTGATATTTAATGATTGCCATTTTTATTCCTTTTGGAGAATTAAATATTAAATATCAGGCAGAATACCTCCTTTAATTTCCCTTTGGAGTAATAAAATGGTACCAGTAACTGTTTCCTGAGATCTGTAGCAATACCCTTTGTCAAAATGGAAGTACATTATAAAGCCAGAAAACCACGTATCAAGAGCTCTTAGAAAGAGTGTTTTATATTATATAAATATGTCAAATAATGAAAACATCCAAGAGGTGAATTGGTGCTGATTTGGCCTCAGGAATCTCTCACACAAAATGTTACAATAAATTCTAATTACCGAAGTACTTATCAAATTATAAAAAAGTTTTAATTACTAATTTTAATTACTTTATTCACAATGAGATAATTAGCATGAATAAGAATTACTCCCTTTTTCAGCTTTATTGGGGTATAATTAACAAAATTGTATATGTTTAAAGTGCACAACATGATTTAATATACATATGCATGTATCAACACAATCAAATTAATGAACATATTCATCATACATAGTTAACCATTGTGTGTGTATGTATGTATGCATGTGGTGAAGACACTCAATACCTACCTTCCTAGTGAATTTCAAGTAAAACTTCAGTATTATTAATTATAGTCACCATGCTGTACATTAGATCCTCAGAACCTATTCACTTATAACTGAAAGTTTGTACACTTCAAACAACATCTCCCAATTTTCCCCACTCATAATCCCTGATATCTGTTCTTCTACTCTTTGCTTCTATGAGTTCTACTTTTTCAGATATCACATGTAAGTGATACCATACAGTATGGGTATTTCTATATCTGGCTTATTTTATTTAGCATAATGTTCTTTAGGTGCATCCATGTTGTTGCAAATGGAAGGATTTCATCTCTTTTAAGGCTGAATACTATCCCATTTTGTGTGTGTGTGTGTGTGTGTGTGTGTGTGTGTGTGTGTGTAACATTTTCTTTCTTCATTCATCCATTAATAGGTACTTAGGTTGGTTCTACATCTTGGCTGTTGTGAATAATGATGATATGAACAAGAAAGTGCAGATATCTCATCAAGATACTGACTTAATTGCCTTTAGATATATATTCAGAAGTGGATTTGCTGGATTGTATAGTAGTTTTATTTTTAATTTTTTGAAGAACCTCCTTACTGTTTGCCATACTTGCTGAATCAATTTACATTACCATTCCCACTAACAATGTAAAAGAGATCTGTTTTCTTTTCTTTTCTCTTTTTTTTTTTTTTTTTTTTGAGACAGAGTCTCCCTCTGTTACCTAGGCTGGAGTGCAGTGGCACAATCTCAGCTCACTGCAACCTCCGCCTCTCAGGTTCAAGCGATTCTCCTGCCTCAGCCTCCCGAGTAACTGGGATTGCAGGCGCCCGCCACCATGCCTGGCTAATTTTTTGTATTTTTAGTAGAGACAGGGTTTCACTATGTTGGCCAGGATGGTCTCAAACTCCTTCCTGATCCGCCCGCCTCAGCTTCCCAAAGTGCTGGGATTACAGCCACTGCACTGAGTCTAGGGATCCCTTTTCTTAACACCATCACCAACACTTGTTATCCCTTGTCTTTTTGATAATAACCATTCTAACAGCAATATGTCATTGTAGTTTTAATTTGCATTTCCCAGATGATTAGTGAGATAAAGCACCTTTTAATACACCTGTTGGGCATTTGTATGTTTTCTTTGGAAGAATGTTTATTCACACCCCTTGCCCATTTTCTAACCAGGTTATTTCATTTTTTGCTATTAACTTGTATGAGTTCCTTATATATTTTTAATATTAACCCCTTGTCAGATACAAGGTTTGTAAAACCATCTCCCATTTCATAGCTTGCCTTTTTATTTCTTTTGCAGTACATAAGTGTGATTGTTTCTTTTGCAGTACATAAGTTTCTTACTTTGATGTTATCCCGTTTGCTTATTTTTATTTTTTTGCCTCTGCTTTTTGTGTCATATACAAAAAATCATTGCCAATACGAATGTCAAGGAGCTTTTTCCCTGTTTTCTTATAAGAGTTTTATGATTTCAGGCCTTACATTTAAGTCTTTAATCCATTTTGAGTTAATATTTGTGTATGATGTAGGTGTCTAATTTCTTTCTTTTGTATGTGGATATTCATTTATCACAATGCCATTCTCTTTGTATTCTTAGTGCTTTTGTCAAAGATTAGTTGACTGTCTATGTATGGGTTTATTTCTGGCTCTCTGTTCTATTGGTCTATGTATCTCATTTTTATGCCAGTAGCATACTGTTTTGATTACTGTAGCTTTGTAACATAATTTGAAATCAGAAGGTGTGACACCTCCAGTTTTGTTCTTTTTTATTTTTTAAGGACAAGTGTCTCTCTTTGTCACCTGGGCTGCAGTGCAATGGCTTAGTCATAGCTCACTGCAAACTCAAACTCCTGGACTCAAGCAATCCTCCCACCTCAGCTTCTGGAGTTGCTGGGGCTATAAGCATGCACCATCAGCCCCAGCTGGTTATTAATTTTTTATATATAAAAGCGAGGTCTCACTATGTTACCCAGGGTGGTCTGGAACTTCCAATCTCAAGATCCTCCTACCTTGGTCTCCCAAAGCACTGATATTTTAGGCATGAGCTACTGTGCCTGGCCCTGCTGTACTTTCCCAAGATTCGTTTGGCTATTCAACATCTTCTATAGTTTTATATTAATTTTAGAAATGTTTTTCTGATTTCTTTGAAAAATGCCATTGGAATTTTTATAGGGATTACATTGAATCTGTAGATTTATTTGGGTAATATGGATATTTTAGCAGTATTAATTATTCCCATCTCTGAAGATAGGAAGTATTCCATTTATTTGTCTCTTCAGTTTCTTTCATCAACATCTTACAATTTTCAGTGTACAGATCTTTCACCTCTCGTTAAATTTATTTGCAAGAATTTTATTCTTTATTATTCTTTTGTAAAGTGGATTGTTTTGATTCTTTTTAGATGGTTTATTATTAGTATGTAGAAACACAGCTAACTTTTGTATGTTGATTTTTTTGTCCTGCAACTTTACTCAATTTGTTTATTAGTTCTAACAGTTTTTTTTTTTTTTTTTTTTTTTGGTGGAGTCTTTAGGGTTTCCTGTATGTAAGATCATGTTATCTGCAATCAGAAACAGTTTTTCTTCCTTTCTGATTTGGATATCTTTTATTTCATTTTCTTGCCTAATTGCTCTGGCTAGACTTTCAGTACCATGTTAAATAGAAATGATGAGGGTGGGCATCTTTTCTTGTTCCTGATCTTAAAGTAAAAGCTTTCATCTTTTCATTGTTAAGTACAACGTTGGTTGAGAGGTTGTTATATATAGCCTTAGTTCTTTTGAGGTACATTTCTTCTGTACCTTATTAGTTGAGAGTTTTTATCATGGAATAATGCTGAATTTTATCAAATGCTTTCTCTGCATTTGAGATGATCATATGATTTGTATCCTTTATTCTCTTAATGTGATGCATCACATTTATTGATTTGTGTAAGCTAACATATCCTTGCTTGCCAAGGATAAATGTCATTTGATCATGGTATTCTTTTAAAGTGTTATTAATTTGGTTTGATTACATTTTCTTAAAAATGTTTGTATTTATATTCATTAGGAATATTGACCTATGATTTTCTTTTTTTGTAGTATCCATATCTGGCTTTAGTATCAGAATAATGCTAGCTTCTTAAAATGAGATTGGAGGTATCCTCTCCTTCTGAATTTTTAGAAGAATTTGAGAAGGATTGATACTAATTCCTCTTTAAATATCTGATATAATTCACTTGTGAAGCTATCAGGTTTTAGGCTTTTCTTTAGAGGTTTTTACTCATGATCGGTCTGTTCAGGTTTTCTACTTCTTCATTATTCAGTCTTGGTAACTTGTATGTTTCTAGGAATTTATCCTTATTCCAGGTTATCCAATTTGTTGGAATATTATTATTCGGAGTAGTCTCTTATGACCCTTTGTATTTCTGTGGTATCAGTTGTAATGTCTTCCCTTTTATTTATAATTTTATTTGAGTCCCTTCTTTTTTTCTTGGTTGGTATGGCTAAAGGTTTATCAATTTTGTTTATATTTTCAAAAAACCAAGTTTTAGCTTTGTTGGTATTTCATTGTTTTATTAGTCTCTATTTGATTTATTTTTGCTCTGATCTTTGTTACATCCTATCTTCTACTAACTTTGGCATTAGTTTAGTTTGTTCTTCTTTTCCTAGTTCCTTGAGGTATAAAATTTAGCGTTTTATTTGGGATCTTTCTTTATGCTTATTATAGGCAGTTATGATTATAAACTTCCCTCTTAGAACTGTATTTGCTGCATCCTATCAGTTTGGGTACGTTCTGTTTTTATTTTTTGTGGTCTCAAGATACTTTCTGATTTCCCTTTTGATTTCTTCTTTGACCCATTGGTTGTTCAGGTAGCATGTTGTTTAATTTTCATATGCTTGTGAATTTTACAAAATCTTCCTGTTACTGATTTCTGGTTTCATACTATTGTGGTCAGAAAAGATAAAGTGCTGTTTTGTGGCTTAATATATGATCTTATCCTGAAGAATGTTCCATGTATGCTGGAGAAGAAGGTTCATTTTGCTGCTTCAGATGGAATGTTTTGAATATATTTGTTAGTCATTTGGTGTATGGTGTTATTCAAGTCCATTGTTTCGTTGTTGATTTTGATCTGTATGATCTATTCATTGTTGCAAATAGAAATTGAAGTCCCCTATTATTATTGTATTGCTGTCTCTTTTTTTTCAGTTCTGTTAGTAGTTGCCTTGTATGTTTAGATGCTCTGGTACTGGATATATATATATACAAAATTGTTACATTCTCTTTATATATTGACACTTGTTATTATATAATGACCATCTTTGTTTCTTGTAACAGATTTTGACTGAAAGTCCATTCTGTCTAATTTGAATATATCCACCCCTGCTGTCTTTTGGTTACCATTTGATTAGAATGTCTTTTCCCATTCCTACATTTCAGCATATGTGTGTCCTTAAGACTAAAATGATTCTCTTATAGGCAGCTTATAATGGGCTCTTGTTTTTGCTTTTTGAATCTATTCAGCCACTCTGCATTTTTAGATTGAAGAATGTAATCCGTTTACATTTAAACTAATTATTGATAGGTAAAGACTTATGACTTCCACTTTTTAAAATGTTTTGCTATTCTTCTGTTCCTTTCTTTTTCTCCTGCTGTCTTTCTTTGTATTTTGATGATTTCCTATAATCTTATATTTTTAATTCCTTTTTGTCTTTTGTGTGTCTACTAGAGGTTTTTTCTTTGTGGTTACAATGAGGCTTGCGTAAAAGATCTTATAACATTCCATTTTAAGTTGATAAGAACTTGACTTCAGTTGCATACAAACACTCTACACTTTTACTCCCCAGTCAACGTTTTATGCTATTGATGTCACACCGTGCATCTCTTTATATTGTATATCTTTAACAAACTAGTGTATCTATAGTTATTTTTAATACTTTTGTTTCTTAACTTTTACTCTAAAGTTAACAAGTGGTTTATATACAACTATTACAATATTCTGAACTTGACTATATTTTTAACTTTACTAGGGAATCTTATACATTCAGATATTTTTATTTTGTTAATTAGCATCTTTTCAGTTCAATTTAGCATTAAGTTCTACCTTCAGCATTCTTTTAAAAGTCAGATCTAGTGGCAATGAATTCCCTTAGCCTTAGCTTCTGTGGAAAAGTCCTTCTCTCTCCTACATTTCTGAAAGACAGCCTTGTTGGATATAGCATTCTTTTTTAACTCTTCGTTTCCTGAACACTTTGAATATATCATTCCACTCTCTCCTGGTTTTCAAGGTTTTTTATGGAGATGTTCACCAATAGTTTTATCAGGGTACCCTTCTTTGTGATGAGTCTCTTTTCCCTTGCTGCTTTAAAGTTTCCCTCTTTATTGAAGACTTTAGTCAATTTGATCATAAAGTATTCCCTCTCTATCTGTGAGGAATAAATTCTAAGATTCCCAGTGGATGCCTGAAACTGTGGATAGTACTGAATCCAATTGCCATCAGTTGGAACCTGTTTCTGTTCATGTCTTCTACAAACAAATTTAATGCCTTTTCCATCTTTGCTTATCACACATTGTGACCATAACTTCTGCAGTCTGAAGTGCAACAGCAAATGGAAACTAGTATGAATTTCCATTTTTTCTTCTTAATTTCATGGGTAGAAGATTTGTTCTTACCATGGATCTTGGGAAACTCAGCATACCATTTTTTTTCTTTCTTTACTAAGTCAAGAGCTTTCACCTTTCCACTTGATGGCTTCTCTTTGGCATATCCAAATTGCCAGCATCACTACTCTTGTGCTTTGGAGCCATTATTAAGTAAAAGAAGTATTACTTGAACACAAACTGCAATACCACACAGTCAATCTGATAACAGATGGCTACTAAGTGACTAAATGACTGTTAGCATACTCAGTGTCATATCCTGGAAAAAGGGATAATCCACATCCTGGACAAGAAAGAGCAGGACAGAGTTAGATTTCATCACTCTGCTCAGAACAGAATGCAATTTAAAACTTGTGAATTGTTTATTTCTGGAATTTTCCGTATAGTATTTTCAAACTGTGGTTGACTGACTGTAGGTAAATGAAAGCATTGAAAGTGAAACCACAGATAAAGGGGAACTACTGTAATGTGTCTCAGAAAAATATTCTCTGGGTGGGTCCTTCTTTAGATTCTTTGAGCTTCATAAATCTGGATGTCTGTATCCCTCTGGGAAGTTTTCAGACGTTATTTCTTTAAGCCTTCTGTTTCTTTCTTTCTCTCTTCTCCTGTGACTTTCATAAATCGCGTATTTATTATCTTGATGGTACCCATAGGTTAGTATGCTCTCTTTCTATATATATTGTATTTATTTATTTATTTATTTGAGACAGGGTCTTGCTCTGTCACCCAGACTGGAGTTGAGTGGTGTGATCTTGGCTCACTGCAACCTTTGCCTCCTGGGCTCAAGTGATTCTCCTGCCTCAGCCTCCCGAGTAGCTGGGACTGCAGGCGCAGGCCACTATGCCTGGCTGAATTTTCTTTTTTCTTTTTTTAAGAGACAGGGTTTCACTGTGTTGCCCAGGCTGGTCTCGAACTCCTGACCTCAAGCAATCCACCTGCCTTGGCCTCCCAAAGTGCTGGGATTACGGGCATAAGCCACTACGCTTGGCCTAGTATGCTGTCTTTACTCTTTTTTAATTGTCATTCCTCTAACTGGCTAATTTCATGTGACCTGTCTTTAAGTTTGATATTTTTTTCTTCTCCATGATTAAATATGATATTGTAGCTCTCTTTTGAATTTTTCAGTTCTATTATTGTATTCTTCAATCCAGGATTTCTGTTTTTTTTTTTATGGTTTCTATTTTTTATGAACTTCTAATTTTGTCCATGCATTGTTTTTCTGATTTCATTTAGTTGTCTGTTTCCTCTTCCATCCCATTGATCTTCTTTAATATGATTGTTTTGAATTCTTTGTCAGACAGTTCATAGATCTCAATTTCTTTGGGGTTGTTACTGGTGCTTATTAGTTTCCTTCTGTGGTGTCATGTTTATCTAATTCTTTATTGTCTGTGTAGCTTTGCCTTTGTGTCTGCATTTGAAGGAACAAATACCTGTTCAAGTCTTTACAGATTGGCTTTGGCAGATATTGACCTTCTCCTGTAGGGTTCCCAGCCTGCTAGGATTGGTTTTGGGACCACAGTCGACTGGAATTTTAACTGGGTCACGAGACTTTTGCTGGTTCTTACAAGGAGCAGAGTGTATATGGATCCTGTCTGGTCTCAAGACAGATTGGACTTTGGGCAGTAGAACAGACACTAGGGCAAGGGTGTGCTTTAGATTCCACAGTTGGCTCCACAGATGGTAGGCCTATTACCAGGTATACTATTCGGTGTCTTTCTCTCCAGGTTCTTAAGAGGGCTCCCACTGGGTCACTAGGTGGATCCTTGGTCAGGCAGAACTGGTCCTGGACTATGGCTGAGAGGGGCTAGAACTGAGTTAGAGAGTGTGCTTCAGGGTCCACAGCTGAGTTCAGTGTTTTTAGGTCTCTCTCCAGGGTCACAGACAAATGTACCTCCTGCCAGGTTCTTGATTGGGCAAGACTGCCCCTGACTGCAGCCGAGCAGGGCTGGAGCTGGGTCACAGGTCTACTTCAGGATCTACATTCAGCCTGAGGCCTATTTCTGGGAGCATGGATAAGCATGTTTCCTATAAAGTCCCTTGGTGGGCAGAACTGCTCTCAGATCACAGCTGAGAGGAGCTGGAACCAAGTTAAAGGGCTCTTTCAGCATCTACAGTGGGACCAAAGTTGGTGGGACTGCCACCAGGGCATGAATGGGCATATCTCCTGGCAGGTCCCTGTGTGGGAAGAAATGCTGTCAGACTACAGGTGAGAATGGCTAGAGCTGAATTACAGGGCCTCTTTATGGTCGACAGCTAGGGCTGAGATCAGCCGGTCTGTTGTACAAAGTGCATGTGGGCATGACTCCTCCCTCATTCCTTGGTGGATGATTCTGGTGGCAGGACAAAGGCCAAATGGAGTTGTAGCCAAGTTCATAGGGGGCTGAGGCTGTTTCTGGGTCTGTATCCAGGACCACTGTTCATAAGCCTGGCAACTGGGTACAAGCCTGCCCTCTCAGACAGCCCTGATCAGTCTTGGACTTCGTATCTGAATCCAAAGCTCGAAAAAGGCACTTTTTTCCATAGATAGCTGCCAAATTATTGTTCTGTGGGAGGATATGAGTAGAGGATCTCCTATTCTGCTATCTTGCTGACTCCTAGAATAGTTCCTTTATAAATATTGTACTAGATGAGGTTTCTAATTTCTCAGCAGACACTTATTCCAAACTCCTAGACTTTCACACCTAAAAATGTGCCTCTGAATAAATATTTAATTTTACAGTATCAGTTTACATTTTTAGACCTATGAAGTAATATTAGAGTATTAATTCTTCTTAATCAACTGTCTTTACTAAAGGGGGTTCCAGGTGAAAATACAGTAATGATATTAAAAATACCACAGAGCACAGGCTCTGACCAATAGAATAGACACTGGCTATAGAATTAGAGTGAGGTACTAGAGTACCCTTGTTTCACCAGAGGTTAACCAGGCAGTGCTGGATAACAGGGAGGTGAGAGGCTCTGTGAAGGAGGCTGGGGAGAAAAAGAAAGTGGGATATAAGGAAATTGGAGCCCCAACTATTTACCAACCTATACAGCCATATGAGTGCATTCCTGTAAAGTGTATATATTTATAGCATCCTTGTGGGAAATGCATTTGAAAAGCCAAGAATGATAAGAAAATACCCTTACTACCAAAAAACTTTGAATAATAATCAATATTTATTCTTCATCAAGGTTGCTATATTCCTTCTTGAAAAAAGAAATTGTGGTGATTTCATTCAGAGTTGTTTGAGGTTTCTCAAGCTCAAGAAAACAAAATCAAAAACACATAGACTTAACCTGGAGAAAATTTTGCTTAAATCCCACTATTCTTATTACATAATACTTGCAATTTCTATCTATTGAGTTATAATAATTAGTTAGAACTTCTCCCATGCTTATTTAATTCATTTGAATTTTTGTGATCAAAGTTACTCTACACCACAGCAGGAGACAATCTGTATTTTATATTTTAGAGGTCGTGAGTCAAATTCTTTTGAAAGTTTGCAATTTTAATAAAATAATGAGGTTTAATAGGAATGTTTATTTTCTAAAATTTTAAAAAATAATGTATCTTTCCATTCATGAGGAGAAAAAAAAACATAAGAAGTGTTTCTTTATATCCATTATATTAAAGTATAACTTGCCTCAAATAAGAAATTGTGAAAAGGAAAACCAAATTTTTGGCTTAGAGGTTTACACTATGTACAATTGAAAAGAGAATTCTATGAAGATTCATATTATTTTATATGAGTTTCAATTATTATAAGACATTAGAGGGCAAAAACGGTTTTGTTAATTGCCAAAACGGATATGTGTTCTACAATGTTATTTCACCTCTATGTTTTTTCTTCTGTTTTCCTTTATTTCCCTTTTCTTTCTTGCATTTTTATCTGATTAAATTTATTTCAAGTAATTGTTTTTTTTTTTCTTCTTATAATTCTAAACAATATCTAGCCATCAATATAGCCCTGAAAAGCACAGGCTTAACTACATTATGGACAATTCTCTGGCAGATCAAATTTTCATCACCCACATTTCAGATCTACTTTAAAAGTCAGCATTAAAGACTAATTTGAGTATTTTTCTGATTTTTAAAAATGCTTTAGTTTCAACTAACCCTCATTGAATTCCATCTGTGTATACTTATGCAAGATTTTATGGGGGCTACAAAGATAGATAAGAGAAAATGTCAGGCTCCTAGTATCTTATCTAGCAGGGAGCAGTTGCTCTGACATGGAGAGAGGTCACTAGACCACAAGCCATGGATGATATATGTCCTATGAGAACAGGCTACATTATTGGCTTTTAGAGGTGGTCCCTGTATGGAGCTTATCAAGTCTTAGAGATGGTGATGAGTCTGGTCTAACTATCCCTCTCTTTTGTAGAAGGATAATGGAATCCAAAGATTTCCTCACCCATTCACCATCTGCCTTATCTTCTTACATTGCATGTCCACTACCCTTGGTAAACAATGTACAGGTTTACTAAGAGCTACACACCAATGTTTTCTTGGGACACTTACTGCACTAACCAAAGTCATTTTTAATATTGTTGTTGTTAATTATTTGTTCCATAATTATTATCTTAATGTTCTTTGGGGAAAACTGCTTTTGATAGAAGGCATTTAATTTTTTTTTTTTTTTTTTTTGAGATGGAGTCTCGCTCTGTCACCCAGGCTGGAGTGCAGTGGCGCAATCTCGGCTCACTGCAAACTCCACCTCCCAGGTTCAAGTGATTCTCCAGCCTCAGCCTCCCAAGTAGCTGGGACTACAGGCGCACACCACTGCGTTTGGCTAATTTTTTTGTATTTTTAGTAGAGACAGGGATTCACCGTGTTGGACAGGCTTGTCTCGAACTCCTGACCTCAGGTGATCCACCTGCCTTGGGCTCCCAAAGTTCTGGGACTACAGGCATGAGCCACCATGCCCGGCCAACTTTTTTCATCTTCCTTTTGGCTAATATACCTTAGGGTAGGTGCTTGCCAAGGGGCAGACATTTAATACAACACAGATAACATGCACTCTCTAGTATCTATATTTTATGCCTTATGTTCTTTAATGAGTGTCTTGTTCCTTACAGGACAGTTCTTTTTACTCTGACGTCTGTGGTTGTACTTGTGATTACAACGGACTGGATCAGCTGGGACAAGCTGAATCGGGGATTTTTGCCCAGTGATGAAGTTTCCAGAGCATTCCTTGCTTCTTTTATCTTGGTCTTTGACCTTCTTATTGTGATGCAGGTAAGTGTATTTCCCTCCCCTCAGTGAAGCTGCTGCATGCTCTGTTCCCAGTATAACAAACAGGATATGGCAACAGGCTCCATAAATCTAAATAAGTACAGCATTTACAGTTACTTTTGATGGGGCCTTCTCTGTTTATATTTTCAGCTATTATACTGGGAGGGAAAGCCAATTGGACTTTTATAAGAGGGGCACCAAAAATGTATTTTATGAACATTGCAAGGTGGGCCCCTAGAAACCATATAGCACATTGGTATTTTCTGCCTAGGCTTTAGGGGGAAAAAAAACACACTCAGAAACAAAAACCAAAAATCCTTGTCATTTAGTAAATGGAAAGCTGCAGACATGAGGATTATATAAAAGCAGCAAAGCAGGGAAAAGCAATTGTCAAAGCAACTCAGGGTTTTATAGCAGTTGAAATGAAGTGATGTAAAAATTCTTTTTCTGGTTATGGAAATTGTTACTTTCTTTCAGTATTCACCAGAGATCATTCCATTTTCATGTAAACCATATTTCTGCCCTGCTTAGCAACAGATTTTTCATACAATAGCATCACACTAACCAGTGTTACTCATGTAATCTGGTGTGACTCTTTGGCGTTTTAGGACTATTCTTTTGAATGGGGCAGAAAGAGACACTAGCTATTTCTTGCTCATTAAATATCCATCCATTTGTTAGACATTTTCTTATTGCTTTCATAAGGCAATTTTTTTCCCTCCTGAGGCATTGTAAGTCACCAGACCAAAGACTACAATTACTGAAGGAATACTCCACTGTATTCTGAATTTATGTGAGATTTCACAGGATAGCAGATTGGTTTTCTCATTTCTAGAGGCAAAAAGAGGCCTTTATGAGAGATATTCAGTGTTGTCTCAAAAGAGAATAACAGTTTATTTATTGATTTTTTTTAAATTTGTTAAATAATATATCTTGGGCATTAGGTTCAAGATGGTTCTTTGAGTATATTACTACTTTAATGGATAATATTTTAAAATACACTATCATTTTTAAAAATTATTTAAAGAGGTAAAACGGAATATTTTTGTTGCATTTGAAAATTGATAAATTTCTTATTTCCTGAAATAGCAATGGAAAAAACTTTCCAATCTGACTTTGAGTTAGACAGCACTGGCAGGTTCTAGATCTGCCTGTCACTAAGCTGTAGGACGTCCCATGGGTATCTACAGAATTGAATTTTTAGCACTTATGCAATAATGTATCATGCATTACTTATATAAAGGCTATTTTTATCTTCCTCTATTTCCTAACTAATATAATTTCTCTTGTAAAATGTCCACATTGGCCAGATGGCCTACTGATACCTCTCTGAACCCATCTTAAAGTCAATGGTATTAGTAGCCCAGTAGACTGTTGTCTAATTGAATTTGCTTACATTCATATATTTGAGAGCATAAATTCTTTGATTGTCCATTACCATCCTCATGCTTCTACTCTGTTTGTGTAAGTTTTCAGTATTCTTCCAATAAGTTCACTAAAATCAAGGACTTCAAGTGGGAAAATATAACATTGTAATTTACAGATATTATGGATTCACTCAAAAACTGCTTAATAAAGACAGATGGAAGAAAGAAAGGATAGTCAGGATTTACATAGGCAGAGTCAGCAAAGGGGAAGGGAAAGACATTCTAGATGAAAAAATATCATAACAATGTAAAATGTTAATAACATGCTGAAGTGTTCAGAGAGTAGTCAGAGCACCAAATGACCGACGATGAAGAGTTTATGCTGAGGAATATTTAAGTTTGGACCATTTTGGCTACAAGTAGCAATAACCCGGCCAAGCTAACTTAATCAAAGGAGGAATGTATTGCTGCATTTTAGGGATATCCTACCCAATTCAAGAGGAGGGATGTAGTTGCCTCTAGGGACACATGAAAGCAGAGACCAGGGTGTAACAGGGAATCCAGACCTAGCATTTATTTTCCATCTCTTATCTTTTTTGTTTTTGCCTTCTCTTTTTTTTTCTCTTATTGTAAAATGGCCTTTCCAGGTTTCTCGTTCAAATGGAAGAAAATGGCTACTGCCGACACCTCAGAGGGCAATCACCCTCTAGCTGTCAGGCCTGATTCCAGATTTCCTAGGAAGGAATTGGAGAAACTCATGGGCTCAGCATGGGAGGCTATGGTGATGAGGTCATCTGAAAGAAAAGGGGAGAGAGGTTGGGCTATAACTCCAAATTAGTAGGTTTCTAATATAAAGATGAGTAAAAAATTAGCCCCAAAATTTAGGTCTCTTAACTTCTTCTTTTCTGTCTCCCCTAACACTAAGTCAGCTAGCCAGGCCTACTGATTTATCTTTATGCCTTTAATATCATTCTTCTTTCTCGTTTCCTTGCCACCATTCCAGTCTTGACTCCCCTCTATACTATTTAATCTCCTATGGATCTTCTGCCACCACACATCCACGTACCATATGCCCTATGCAGCTCTTCTTCATAACCTTCCAGTTGGAAATGTCATGTTTTACACTTCTCAGCCCTAGATATTGTCCATGACTCCTCATTGTCCGAGAGGAGAGTCCAGCCTCTGGGAGCTCTCTGAGTGCCCTCCATGGTCTGGCCCTGACTCTGTATTCTCCCACGTCTTCTATGCTCTAGTTCCACCCAGATCAACATATTTGCTGCTGGGCATTTGCCCACAGCATACTTATTCCCCAGTGTCAGGAGTCTCTTGTTCCTCTACAGATTGTGCCTTTTCTGTTCTGCTCATTTGGATCCTACCATTGGAGACCATTTCAACTTTCTCTTCATTAAAGTCATGTGATCACTTCCTCTTCAGAACTCCTGTAGCACTTTTTACCTGAACTGCAAATCAATATGTCACTTTTTCCTTATAACTCTTCATATCCATGGAGCTTCCCAAGCAAAGTGCCTTACATGGCAGGAGTAGGCCCAGAGTAATAACTGCTTGATGAGGATAAAGAAGTGACAGCTAAGCACTGAGTCATGTGCAAACTGTATCCCTCTTTGTGAGCATCATGTAGAAGTTGTAGGAACTAGTACATGTGGTAAGAGAGTTAATTTAAGGAAACAGAGCCCCAGAAAGCATATGTACTCAAGACATTTGAAAATATATAAGACAAATATCCTAACAAGTTCACAACCAACTAAACTGTGTTCTAATTCATCCCATATTTACATATTCCAGATGAAAGAAAAATAAAGAAGTAAAATTAGTGTCACTGAAACACCTGTCCTTATTAGAATTATTTAAATGATTTGAAAGCAGTCGATCCTAGGTTCTCTATTGGTAGGAAAATTCCACTTATACTATAGAAAGGTATTGTATTTTTTTTTTTTCTGATATGGAGTTTCACTCTTGTTGCCCAGGCTGGAGTGCAATGGCGTGATCTCGGCTCACTGCAACCTCTGCCTCCTGGGTTCAAGCGATTCTCCTGCCTCAGCCTCCCAGGTAGCTGGGATTACAGGCATGCACCACCATACCTGGCTAATTTTGTATTTTTTTTTTTAGTAGAGATGGGGTTTCTCTATGTTGGTCAGGCTGGTCCCGAACTCCCAACCTCAGGTGATCCGCCCACCTCGGCCTCCCAAAGTGCTGGGATTACAGGCATGAGCCACCGTGCCCAGCTGGTATTGTAATTTTTTTTTAAAAGAAACCATTAGAATTTGGTGCTACTTTTGTAAAGTTCTTTTTATTATTTTTAATAAAATTAGCAGGCCAGTTCTGAATACTTTTAGAGAAAGTAAATCATTAATTTTTATAGATATTTACTAAATAGGATTTTTCTACCTTTATTGTTGTATCACATTTTTCTGTGGTTTTAGTAAACTCACTAGAACTAGGGCATAAACAGATACCAGCAAAGTGTAACGTGACTCACACATGCTACGTACAGGACACAAGAAATAAATTGTAGAGAAAACATTCTTCTAAGGAAAACTTTATCTCAGTTTCTGTTAAGTATTTGTAATTATGTCATTTGATTTATATATATCCCTCTATTTCTTTGCATAAGTATTTGACTTGTAGCATATCCCACCCACCGTTCTTCTTTGCTAGGTTAAGGAAAAGATTCAGGTAATGGATACCCTAAAAGTGCAGACTTCACCACTACACAATCTATCCATGTATGAAAATTACACTTGTACCCCATAAATTTACACAATTTTTTAAAAAAGAGTTAAAATATGTTTGTAAACAAAGGAAAAAAGTGGGACAAATGGAGCAAAATATCCAAATAGAACCTTCCAGTGATCGTCCCCCTATAGGAGCATGAAAGTTAACAATTCATATAAGAAAGCACCTCCATAAGAACCAAAAATCAGATGAATGATCACAGTGCTTGGTTTTAACATTATATTAGGAAAGAGGCACTGAAGAGGGTAAGAGAGACAGTCTTGAATTGCTGATACCTCTCTTCCCCCATCCCCCAGCAGTGGCCACGTGGCACAGAATCTATGTGCTTAGGGGAGGGAGGAGAGCACAGTGACTATGGGACTTTGCATTGGAACTTAGTGCTGCCTGTCATAGCAGAATGCAACACAGGGCAAAATTCAGCTGGCACACATAGAGAGCATCTAGACCAGCCCTAGCCAGAGGGGAATTTCTGGTAGCCTCCCAACTGCAGGCTAAAGTGCTTTGGGATCCCAAATAAATTTGAAAGGCAGTCTAGGCCACAAGGACTTGGAATTTCTTGGCTAGTCCTTGTGCTGTGCTGAGCTTGGAGGCAGTAGACTTTGTGTCATGCGACCTAGTGAGACACCAGCCAGGGTGGCCAAGGGAGTGCTTGAACCACTCCTTCTTCAATCCCTAGTAGTGCAGCTCACAGCTCCAGGACAGACTCCTTTCCTCTGCTTCAGGAGAGGAGAGCAGACAGTAAAGAGGACTTTGTCTTGCAACTTGGATACTAGCTTACCACAGTAGAATAGGGCACCAGAGAGAGTCCTGAGGCCCCTATTTCAGGTTCTACCTCTGGACAACATTTCTGGGCCAGAAGGGAACCCACTGACTTGAAGGGAAGGACTCAGTCCTGGCAAGATTAATCACCCATTGTCTAAAGGGCCCTTGGGCCTTAAATGAACATAAGGAGTAGCTAGGCAGTACTCACTGCAGCCTTGAGTGACATCCAGAGCCATGTTGGTTTCAGGTGAAACCCAAACATCCCCACCTGTGGTGGCCATGGCGAGATATTCCTTCTACTTGAGGAAAGCAGAGTGAAGAGTAAAGGGAACTTTGTCTTGTAGCTTGGGTACCAGCTCAGCCGCAGTGGGGTAGAGCACAGAGTTGGCTCCTGAGGTTCCTGACTCCAGGCCTTGGCTCCTAGATGACACATCTGGACTCATCCTGGGCCAGAGGGGAGCCCATTCCTGAAAGGAGAGAGCCAGGCCTGGCAGTATATACCATAAGCTGACTAAACAGCCATTGGATCTTGTGTGAACATCAGCAGTAGCCAGGCAGTACTTGCCATGGGCCTGGGGCAGTGGTAACCATGAGGAAAGACTCTTCCTTCTTGACATTGGCTTTGGCAAAGAATTTATGACTTAAGTCCCCAAAAGCAATTGCAACAAAAACAAAAATTGACAAGTGAGACCTAATTAAACAAAAGAGCTTTTGTACAGAAAAAGAAATAGGAGAGTAAAAAGACAACCCACAGTATTGGAGAAAATATCTGCAAACTATACATCCAACAGAGGTCTAATATCTAGAATTTAAAAGATACTTAAACAACTCAACAAGCAAAAAACAGATAATCCCATCTAAAATTGGGCAAAAGAACATGAACAGACACTTCTCAAAAAAAAAAAAGACAAGCAGCCAACAAGCATATGAAAAAATGCTCATCATCACTAATCATCAGATAAATGCAAATCAAAACTGAATGACATACCATCTCACAGCTGTCAGTCTGACCTATTATAAAAAAGATTAAAAAGAATAACAGATGCTGGCAAGGCTGCAGAGAAAAGGGAATGCTTATGCCCTAATGGTGGGAATGTAAATTGTTCAACCACTGTGGAAAGCAGTTTGGAGATCTCTCAAACAGCTTAAACAGAACTAGCATTCAACCCAGCAATCCCATTACTGAGTATATACCCAAAGGAAAAGAAGTTGTTCTACCAAAAAGACACATGCACACATATGTTCATCCAGCCTAGGTGCCCATCAACAGTGGATCAGATAAAGAAAATGTGGTACCTGAACACCATGGCATACTATACAGCCATGAAAAAGAATGAAATGATGTCCTTTACAGCAACATGGATTCATCTGGAGACCATCATCCTAAGTGAATTAACAGAGGGACAGAAAACCAAATACCACATGTTCTCATTTATAAATGAGAGCTAAACATTGAGTACAGGTGAACATAAAAACAGGTACTACAGACACTGGGGACTACTGGAGAGGGTAGAAGGGAAGAGGGGAATGGACCGAAAAACTACCCATCAGGTACTATGCTCTCTCCTGGGCAACAGGGCCATCCATACCCCAATTCTTAGCATCACATAATATACCCATGTAACAAACCTGCACTTGGACCCCCTGAGTCTATAATAAAATTGGAAATTATTTTAAAAAGAAAAAGAAAAAAATGGAAAGTAGATGATAAACCTAGCAGAAATCTACTCATATTTCTATATCAATAAATACAAATATATGTGTGCCTATATACATAGATATATATGTGCAGGTGTGTGTGTAATATCTTAGATTTATGTGCATCAAGTTCATAACAGAAGCTGAATAGAGGAGAGACTATTAAAAAAAGAAAGTTTCAAAGATCAAGTTTTGGATCCTTATACTATTGATATCTTTCAATACTTCTGTCTCCTGTAATTTATCTAAGTACCTGCTTGTCACCTGTGTACATACATACCTCCTATAATGTGTAAGCTCCTTGAGGAGAGGAAGTGTTTTATCAATTTTTTCATTCCCACAGCATGATTAGTGCATTGCAGTTTTACCATAAATATTTTGCTTTGTGAAAGAGTAAAGGAATTAATGTAACATTATTTCACATGCACCAAATAATGTGATTTTTCAAGAGGTGAAATACCAGCAGCAGGAGAATGAACTATCAATAATATTACATTTGGTCATTTTCACTGAAGTATGATCTTACAGTAATTAACTATCTAAATATAAATCTGAATAAATTGTCGTTAGGTGTTAAAAAGCACTCTGTGGTATAGTCAAAAGGCACTTGGAGAGAAGTGATATTTCCTGAAAAGCAATTGTTAATGCACTGAAAAAATAATCATGAAAATTGCATTCCACAAACATTTCACCATGTAACAGATTTGAAGTGTGTTTGTATTCTGTTTTGTGCGTGGCTCTAAGAAGTAGGTTGACTACTTTAAAAATAGACATTGTGACTCTTGGTAGACTTTATTTTAAAACCCCATTGACCTGACGTTAGTAGAGCATTTCTTTTGAGGTCACAGTTGTGGAAAGTGGATTCAGTCATTTCAGAGCATATGGCAGAGCAACAAGCATAAACCTATGTTAATTAAATAGTCATGGTGTTTTAACAAGTTGGAATATATTTTCAAGATAAGTTATTCCAACTGATTACATTTACAGGCTACTTAGAAAGAAAGATTTGTTTAAATGTTTGTCCACTAGATTTAACATCTCCTTGAGCTTTGGGAGTATTTTCTATAACTTCTTCAAACTATTTTAAGTTCCTCTTTACATGTGTTTAACATCTTCATTTTTCCTTACTAAAGGAAAAATACTATTTGAAAACACAATAGTGCTGGCTTCTGTTATAGGGTCCCAAGTGGTGACGTGGAATAAAGGGCTTATCACTTAGGTAATACCTGGATTAACCATAAATGCCTACTCTCCTCATGGTATGTGCTTAAGGGATTAAATCTCAACTTTATTTACTCTCACTTCCCTCATTACTGCTAGTACAGCGGGGAGACAGAGTGTTCAGGGAGAATCACGGAGGAGGACTGCATCATGTTTATTAGCAGTCCTGGCAACAGACCTCCAAATAGTAGACAGACTTAACACGGTGAGTTTGTCCATACAGAAGGAAGGAGTCCAGCCAAGTGGGTAGTCTGCATGAAGTGCCAAGGAGGATGTCCTAACAGGTGGCCCATGGTATCAGAGGAATTTGGCAGAAGGTAATAGTGAGCTGGAAGCATTGGGTTTATCAGGCAAAAACTTTTAGGATTCAATCATGGGTACTGGAGTGACAAACGCATTCACTTGAAAATGAAACTAATGGTCTGGTTAGCATATGATATAGATGACAGTTGAAACTGATAGTAAATTCTGTGAGGGATTATCGTGAGCGGGAGAGATCACTCAGGTTTTTATGTATAACATGGAAAGAATGTAGTTTGAAGGAATTATAAGATTTGGTTAAGTAAGTGGAAAATAGAGACATTCAAGTTTTATCCCAATTTAAAGTAAAATGCTTCAGTCCCTGGGGTATTCGTTTAAAAGAGAGCTAGAACATGATTTAAAAAACTGGAAATATATAAATTCTATACTACTGCAGATGGGCAGGAATTTTTTCAAAGCCATCCTGAAGCAGCAAGATATAACTCATTTGCATTTGTCTTTTTCCAATGAATGTGCTTTTTCTTATAATTAGAGCTTGACCATCGCTCTGAAAAGAATATTTCAGCCCTATCCCTCACTCTCATCTTTGCATGTGTGTCAAGGTTGGCCCTGGAAGTCTTGTGTAGTAGTTGCTACTTGTCATTGTCTCACTTGTACCCAGTAAAAAAAAGTGCAGCATTGAAGACTGACACATTCAGCCATGCTATTGGCACCCAAACTCAGAGCACTGCTGTACTTCAGGTCAGAATTGTATAGGTGATGCTAAATGCAAGCTATGGTGCAAGCTTTTCCTAGATCTGATGGACTGATTCTTTGTAACTTTTTTTTTTTTTTTTTTGAGACAGACTCTTGCTCTGTCGCCCAGGCTGGAGTGCAGTGGCGCCATCTCGGCTCGCTGCAAGCTCCGCCTCCCGGGTTCACCCCATTCTCCTGCTTCAGGCTTCCCAGTAGCTGGGACTACAGGCGCCTGCCACCGCGCCCGGCTAATTTTTTGTATTTTTAGTAGAGACGGGGTTTCACCGTGTTAGTCAGGATGGTCTCGATCTCCTGACGTCGTGATCCGCCCACCTTGGCCTCCCAAAGTGCTGGGATTATAGACGTCAGCCACTGCGCCCGGCCTGTAACTATTTTTAATGGATGCTGTCAGGGATATGAAGTATTTCTATGGGCTCCTCTATGAGCTTTTTAAGTTACAATGATAAAGCTAAGGAACAAATTACAAAAGAACTTTGTAGGCAATGGAATCATGGAAGCCAGTATAACAATCCTCTATAATTCAGAGCATTCATTTTAAACTCATGCCTAAAATAAGAAATGAAAAAGAGCTATTGTTAGACCGACAAGTTCATTAATATCATGAAGTCATGAAATTTTAGAGCAGGAGGAAAATTTAGGATCACTTTTTCATATCTTGAGTTTTACAGCTGAAGCCCAGGGAGGTTCTTTAATTTGCCTAAGGTCATAAAGTCAGTCAGTGGCAGGACCTGATGTAGAAGCTGGGTCTTCTGAACCTCTACCCACTACCCCAACGGGCAGTTTCTAAGTCAAGGTTTATTAACTCTGGAGTTGGACGTGAAGAGGCACGTTGGAGAATGTTGTCCAAGAGGCTCAGTGTCAAGTCTAGTTAGATTAAATGTGGAATCCAGTAACAGGAGACCATATGAGAACACTGCACAGTGAAATGAGGAACAAGCTACTAAGATGGGCAGAATGGTGCAATGAAAACACTACTGGACTAAAAAGACAGGAGTTGAGGGAGGGAAGAAGGCAGAAAAACTAAAAGGCCAACATTCATTGAGCACTTAATATGTACTGGGCACTGTCCTGGATGCTTAGATGTACTTTATTTCATTTAATCTTACAAAACCTTCCAATAAGGATAATATTATTAATATTATTTATAACTTTACAAATGAGAAGAAAATGGGAATTTCCTAAGGCACACAGATACAGTCTGGATTCAGCAGAATGAGAATTAAAAAAAAAAAAAAAACAGATCTGTCTGACTTCAAAGACCATACTTTTTTTCATAACTTGTTTTACTGTTGTGCATATAAAATGAAATAATATGCTGTATACAAAGTTGAAAACAAAGCACATTGCAGGTGATAGGAAGTTTAGTGAATGACGGGAACACTCTTGCAATAGACTAAAGTCAGGGCTGCATAGTTCTTAGTGGCAGTGTGACCTTAGTTAAGTCAGCTTGTTTCTAGGAATCCACTTTTCTCGTTGATAGCATGACAGTTTTTTCCTTCCTCTTGTTACAAGATTTTTTTGTGATGGTCAATTTTTTTTAAATGCTTGAAGTATGATGTTTTTGCATGTCAAAAGTACATAATGTGGATAGAAGAAAATTAATTTAGTTGAAAAATGTTTCAGTTTTTCTTTGAATTACAATTGATCATTCAGACCTTTGGTTTTAACTAAGAAAAACTATAGTAATATGACGGTATATAAAGAATTTGGAGTAGGAGAAACAATGTAGCCATAACCTACAAATAGAGGCATACTCTAAGGCAGTGATTCTCACTGTTATCTGATGATAAGAATCACTGGGGGCAGGGCACAGTGGCTCACGCCTCTAATCCCAGCACTTTGGGAGGCCGAGGCGGGTGGATCACCTGAGGTCGGGAGTTCAAGACCAGCCTGATCAACATGGAGAAACCCCATCTCTACTAAAAATACAAAATTAGCCAGGTGTGGTGGCATATGCCTATAATTCCAGCTACTCTGGAGGCTGAGGCAGGAGTATAGTTTGAACCCTGGAGGCGGAGGTTGGGGTGAGCTGAGATTGCACCATTGCACTCCAGCCTGAGCAACAAGAGCGAAACTCCGTCTCTCACAAGCACACAAAATAATCACCGGAACCTTTACAGAGATGTGAGTTCTCTGGATCAGAAGAGCTCCAGGAGTTTCTTGTTTAGTAAGTGGGTAATGGTGCCTGGGATATATGTTCCTTTAAATCATTACAGATGATTCTTGCAATCATAGTTACCTGCATTAGAAGCACCTGGGTTCTGCTTAAAAATGCAGATTCTTGGGTCTTCCTCTTACATCTAGTAGTATGAGAATCACTAGGGGATTCTGCCTGGAAATACGAGTTTAAAATTAGACTATGATTTCTCAGCTCTCATGTAACTCTGGTAATAAGTGAATGTTTGCTATTGCTTTGATCAGATGGCTGTACATGACAGAACTGCAAGAAAATTCTAAACTGCTAGATGATAGTCTCAGTTTATTGCATTTGAAGATGTTTGGGGAATTGTTCAGAATTTTGAATTTCTCCTATAAAACTATATCACTACTGTTGTGTATTTGTGGAAAGCTGAAAAATAAAACTAAATATATTCTGGATACATTTTTCTCAATTTTTATGTGAGTATATATATATATGTATATACATATATGTATGCTGAAAACGATATTTATATCTGAGAGATTACCGTTTGTTCAACCTTTGATTTCAGTAGCTGAGTACATTCATTTGGCAAGTCGAATAAGGTCTAAAGCAGAGAAACAGCAGGAAATCAAGGAGGTACATATATCTCAGTTTTATAACAAAATAAATTTACACACAAAAATGTGTCTAGAAAAAAGATAAGTAGTTGTTTATAATCCCTTCCTGGGCCTTCTAAAGAGGGTGAATGCCAAGAAAGATCTTTTGTTTTAATGAATAGGGTGGTGGGTGTAGATGCAAACTGGAGAAGCTCAGGAACCTAGGTGAGTATTCCTGCCTATGCAGAAGGTTGAGAAGACTTGTTATGGGGAAAGAAAGAGGGAGGACGTAGAGATGACAGCTGCCACAGCCAACAGAAATTGTAACAGAGAGGATTTTCAAAACAATTTTGCTGTATTATACATAATGTTACATCTTACATCCAGCTTCAGCTTCCCAATAAATTTTCAGTTAATATTAAATATATATATGTATATATATATGTATATATGTGTATATATGTATATATATATGTATATATGTGTATATATGTATATATATGTATATATGTATATATGTATATATATGTATATATGTATATATGTATATATATGTATATATGTATATATATGTATATATATGTATATATGTATATATATGTGTATATATATATGTGTGTATATATATATATATATTTTTCCTCCCATTCTTTTGGCATTTGATGGCCAGGTCAATCCTCCTCTTTACATGCCAGATGGGTTTCTGGGCAAGAGCCAGGGGAAGGAAAAGGTCATGGAGGCCAAGGTACATTATTTTTCTTAATAATTTCAACTTTTATTTTAGATTCAGGAGGTACTTGTGCAGGTTTGTTACATGAGTATATTGTGTGATGCTGATGTTGATGAATGATCCTATGAATGATCATAGGATGATGATCCTATCATCTATGGTGTGCATCATCCTATCACCTAGGTAGTGAGCATAGTACCCAATAAGTAGATTTTCAGTTTTTCAGCCCTTGTCCCTTCCCTTCCCTCTCTAGTAATCCCCAGTATCTCTTGTTGCCATCTTTATGTTCATATGTACCCAATGTTTAGCTCCCACTTATAAGTGAGAACATGCAGGATTTGGTTTTCTGTTCCTATGTTAATTTACTTAGGATGACGGCCTTCAGATGAATCTATGTTGCTGCAAAGGACATGATTTTTTCTTTTTCATGGCTGTGTAATATTCCAGGGTGTACATGCATCACATTTTCTTTATCCAATCCACCGCTGTTGGGCCCTTAGATTGATTCCATGTCTTTTGCTATTGTGAATAGCTCTGTGATACATATGTGAGTGCACATGTCTTTTTGGTGATGGAATGATTTATTTTTTATTGAGTATATACCCAGTGATATGATTGCTGAGTTGAATGGTAGTTCTGTTTAAGTTCCTTGAGAAATCTCCAAATTGCTTTCCAAAGGGGCTGAACTAATTTACATTCCTACCGTCAGTACATAAACATTCCCTTTTCTCTGCAGCCTCATCAGCATCTGTTATTTATTTTTATAATAGCCATTCTGACAGATGTGAGATGGTATCTCATTGTGGTTTTGATTTGCATTTCTCTGATGATTAGTGATGATGAGCATTTTTTCATAAGCTTGTTAGCTCCTTGTATGTCTTTTGTTTTTGAGAAGTGTCTGTTCATGTTCTTTTGCCCACTTTTAGATGAGATTATATGTGTTTTGCTTGTTAAGTTGTTTAAGTATATTACAGATTCTGGATATTAAACCTCTGTTGGATGCATAATTTGCAGATATTTTCTCCAATACTGTGAGCTGTCTGTTTACTCTGCTTTTCATTTTGCTGTACGAAAGCTCTTTATTTAATTAGGTCTCACTTGTCAATTTTTGGCTTTGTTGCAGTTGCTTTTGAGGACTTAGTCATAAGTTCTTTGCCAATCCTGTTATCTACAATGTTATTTTCTAGGTTTTCTTTTATGATTTTTATAGCTTGAGATTTTACATTTAAATCTTTAATCCCATCTTGAGTTAGTTTTTCTATATGGTGAAAAGTAGGGGGACAGTTTCATTCTTCTGCATATGACTATCCAGTTATCTCAGCACCATTTATTACATATGGAGTTCTTTCCTTATTGCTTATTTTTGTTGACTTTGTCAAAGGTCAGATGGCTGTAGGTGTGCAGCTTGTTTCTGGGTTCACTTTTCAGATCTATTATTCTGTCTGTCTGTTTTTGTACCAATATCATGCTGTTTTGATTACTGTAGCCATGTAGTGTAGTTTGAAGTCAGGTAGTGTGATGCCTCTGGCTTTGTTCTTTTTGCTTAGCATTGCTTTGGCTATTCAGGCTCTCTTTTGGTTCAATATGAGTTTTAGAATAATTTTTTATAATTCTGTGAAAAAAGACATTGATAGTTTGAAGGAATAGTGTTGAATCTGCAGATTACTTTGAGCAGTATGGACGTTTTAATGACATTAATTCTTTCAGTCTATGAGCATGGAATGTTTTTCCATTTGTGTCATCTCTGATTTTTTTCAGCAGTGTTTTGTAGTTCTCCTTGTAGAGATATTTTATATCCTTAGTTGGTTGTATTCCTAGGTACTTTTTTGTGTGGGTGGGTATTGTAAGTGAGATTATGTCCTTGATTTGGCTCTCAGCTTGAACCTCTTTGGTGTATAGAAATGGTACTGATTTTTATATGCTGATTTTGTGTCCTGAAACTTTACTAAAGTTGTTTATCTGGTCTAGGAGCCTTTGGCAGAGGCTTTAGGGTTTTCTAGGCATAGAATCATATTGTCTGCAAAACTGAGATAGTTTGACTTGCTCTTTTCCTATTGATGCGTTTTATTCTTTCTCTTGCCTGATTGCTCTGGCTAGGACTTCCAACACTATGTTGAATAGGGTTGGTAACAGGATCCTTGTCTTGTTCCAGTTCTCATGGGGAATACTTCCAGCTTTTGCCCAGTCAGAATGATGTTGACTGTAGATTTTTTATAGATGACTCTTATTTTTTTGATGTATGTTCCTTCAAGGGCTTATTTGTTGAGGTTTTATAATGAAGGGAGGTTGGATTTTATCAAAAGCCTTTTATACTTCTATTAAGATGATCATACAGTTTTGGTTTTTAATTCTGGTTTTGTGGTGAATCACATTTATTTAGTTTTGTGTGTTGAACCAACTGGCATCTCAGGAATAAAGCCTACTTGATTGTGGTGACTTAACTTTTTGATATGCTGCTGGATTTCATTTGGCAGTTTTTTTTCTTTTTTTGAGGATTTTTGTGTCTATGTTTATCAGGGATATTGGCCTGTAGTTTCTTCTTCTTTTTTTTTTTTTTTTTAAGACAAAGTCTCACTCTGTCGCCAAGGTTGGAGTGCAGTGGCGCAATTTCAGCTCACTGCAACCTCCGCCTCCTGGGTTCAAGGGATTCTCCTGCCTCAGCCTCCTGAGTAGCTGGGACTACAGGCTAGTTTTCTTTTTACATTGTGCCTTTATCAGTTTATGGTATCAGGGTGATACTAGCTTCATAGTATGAGTTAGGCAGGAGCCCATCCTCCTCCATTTTTTGAAATAGTTTCAATAGAATTAGTACGAGCTCTTCTCTGTACATGTAGTAAAATTCAGCTGTGAATCCATCTGATCCAGAGCTTTTTTGTATGTAGGTTTTTTTGACTAATTCAATTTTGTAACTGGGTATTGGTATGTTCAATGTTTCAATTTCTTCCTGATTCACTGTTGGGGCTTGTGTGTTTCCAGGAATTTATCCATTTCTTCTAGAGTTTCTAGTTTGTGTGCATAGAGGTGTTCATAATATTCTCTGAGAATCTTTTGTGTTTCTGTGGAATTGGTTGTAATATCACCTTTGTTGTTTCAAATTGCACTTTTTTGGATCTTCTCTTTTATTTGTTAATCTAGCTAGCAGTCTATCTGTCTTGTTTCGTCTTTCAGAGAGCCAACTTTTGGGTTCATTGATGCTTTGTATGGATTTTGGGGTCTGAATTTCATTCAATTCTGCTCTTATTTTAATAATTTCTTTTCTTCTGCTAGCTTTGGAGTTAGTTTATTCTTAGTTTTCTAGTTCCTCTAGATGTGATACCAAACTGTAAATTTGAGATCTTCCTAACTTCTTGAAGTAGATGTTTAGAGCTATAAATTTTCCTGTCAACACTGTTTTTGCTTCATCCAAGAGATTTTGCTATGTTGTGTTGACTGTTCGTTTCTTTCAAAGAATTTTTTACTTTCTGCCTTAAATTCATTGTTTACCCAAAAATTGTTCAGAGAAAAGTAGTTTAATTTCCAAGTAATTGTGTGGTTTTCAGATACCTTCTTGGTTTTGATTTTATTTGTATTCCACTGTGGTCAGAGCATATGGTGGGTATGATTTCTATTTTTTCTAATCTGTTGAGACTTGCTTTATGGCTGAGCACTATTGTGTGGTGGGCTAAGGCTTTTCATAGATATAGGAGTATTTGTATTATTAATGTGGGTGCTCCGATGTTGGGTGCACATATACTTAGGATTATTAAATCTTCTTGTTGAATTGAACCTTTCATCATTATATAATGTCCTTCTTTTTCCTATTTTATTATTGCTGGCTTAAAGTCTGTTTTATCTGATATAAAAATAGCAATGATATAAAAATAGCAACCCCTGTTCTTTTTTGTTTTCCATTTTCATGATAGATCTTTCTTTCTCCAGTTCTTTACTTTGAGCCTGTAAGTGTCATTTCCTGTGAGAGGGGTCTCTGGAAGACAGGAGACAGACTTTTTAATCCAGTTTACCACTCTCTGTGTCTTCTTAGTGAAGCATTTAGACTATTTTCACTCAAGGTTAATATTGTCATGTGTGGTTTTAATCCTATGGTGAAATTATTAACTGGTTGCTTTGTAGTTCCTGTTATATAATTGCTCTATAGGGTCTGTGAACTATAGACTTACATGTATTTTTGTGGTAGCAGGTATTGTTATTTTGTTTCCATTTTTAAAATTCCCTTAAGGACCTCTTTTAAGCCTGGTCTAATGGAGATACATTCTCTTAGCGTTTTTTTATTGTTGGGGGTGTCTGGAAAACATTGTATTTTTACTTTGCTTATAAAGCTTAGTTTGATGGGATATGGAATTCTTGGTTGAAATTTCTTTCCCTTAAGGATGCTGAAAATAGGCCCCCAATCTCTTCTGGCTTGTAATATTTCAGCTGAGACATATGCTTTTAAATTGATGGGATTCCATTTGTGCATGGTCTGAACTTTTTCTCTAGCTGCCTTTAAGATTTTTTCTTTAGCATTGTCCTTGGGCAGTTTAATGACTATATGCCTTGATGATGTTCTTTTTGTATGGTATCTCACAGGTGTTCTCTGGATTTCTTGTTCCTGGGTGTCTACCTCTTTAAAAATACTAGGGACACTCTTTGTACTATTGCTTCAAATATGTTTTCCAGATTGTTTACTTTTTCTCCTCCTCTCTCAGGAATGCCAGTAATTTATAAATTTGTTTGCTTTACATAATCCCATATTTTTCAGACTTTGTTCATTAAAATTTTTTTTCTTTATTTTAGTCTGACTTGATTAATTCAAAAGACTAGTCTTCTAGCTCTGTAATTCTTTTTCTGTTTGGTGTAGTATATTGATAAAACCTTCAATTGTATTTTGAAATTCTTTAATTGAATTTTTCAATCCTGGAAGCTCTGACTGATTTTCTTTAAAGATGTTTATCTCCTTCTTCATTTCCTGGATTTCTTCAGAAATTTCTTTTTCTTTTTCTTTTTTTTTTTTTTTTTGGCTTTCATCCTTGTCTTGAATCTTGTTGAGCCTCCTTGCAATCCAAGCTTTGCATTCTTAATCCGTCATTTCTGAGTGTCTGTTTTAGTCAGGGACCATTGCTGGAGATCTAGTGTGATCCTTTGGTGGAGTCACAATATTCAGATTTTTCATGGTATGAGAAAAGTTGCACTGGTTCTTTCTCATCTGGAGACACTGGCACTTCTAATTTTTGTAATTATTAATATTTTCATGTGAATAGGATTTTCCCCTTTCTTTCCCTATTATATATATATATATGTTTTTTTTTTTAATTTTTCTTTGTTTTTCTCCCTAGTGGGTGTAACTGTAAAGAATGTTGGCTAGGGTCTTTTGGCTTTGCTTCATTTTTTTGTTTTTGTTTTTGTTTTTGAGACAAAGTTTCACACTTGTTGCCCAGGCTGGAGTGCAAATGGCGCAATCTCAGCTTACTGAAACCTCTGCCTCCAGGGTTCAAGCAATCCTCCTGCCTCAGCCTCCCAAGTAGGTGGGATTACAGGTGCCTGCCACTACACCTGACTAATTTTTTGTATTTTTAGTAGAGACAGGATTTCACCATGTTGGCCAGGCTAGTCTCGAACTCCTGACCTCAGGTGATCCACCAGCCTGGCCTTGGCTTTGCTTCTATAGCCCTATGCACTTCTGTCAGCTGGTTTTATGTTGGACTGTGTGGTTCTACCTACAGGCCAGTAGATGGCACTTATGGGTAAAAGTCAGCTCTGGCCAACGTGAACGGGTATATATTTCAACCTTGTTTACTGGGAGGTCTCTGATGCTGCAGGCAATGGGCTGAACTGTTTAGTGCACAGTGGTCTTAGCTCCCTACTCACCACCACATGAGGGAACCAAGAGAGTAGGGCCTGGACTGGGCAGGCTCACCTACAGCCACTCAATGGCAGGTACTAGCACCAGCACCTAATGCGTGGCCACCTAGCGCCCAGAGGTATGTCTAGGCATGGAGCTTGGTAACCTGCTTGGCCCTAAGTTCTCTGCATGGGGAGGGGTGACGGCCCGAACTCCTAATCCAGTAGAGTGGATGCACCTGGAGATCTTCCTGGGCATGTAGCATAGGGGGCCGTACTGCACCACAGTCTCTCCACAGAAAGTGTGGGGCAACTCAGGCCACTGACCCAGGCAAGGGGGTACTTCAGATGCCTGGAGATATGCCTAAGCATGGAGTGGAGAGGGTCCTGTTACATCACAATCTATGCACAGGAGGGGTGGGAGACTCAGGCTGCTGGTCCATGATAGGAAGTGCTCTGATTGTCTGGAGATCTGCCTGCATGCGTGGAACAGAAGAGGCCCTGCTACACTCTAATCTATGTACGTTAAGGTGAGATGGCTCAGGCTACTAGTCCAGGAGAGTAGGTGCTCTGAATACCTGGAGTTCTGCCTGGATGTGTAGCAGAGAGGGCCCTGCTACACCCTAATCTATCCACAGGAAAGGTAGGGTGGCTAAGGTTGCTGATCCAGGCAACAGGGTGCTCCATCTGCATGGAGATTTGCCTGGGCATGAAGTGGAGAGAATCCTGCTACAAGCCAATTTATGCACAGGAAAGGTGGGGTGGCTCAGGCTGGTAATCCAGAAGAGCAGGTGTTCTCAATGGCCAGAAATCTGCCAGGGTATGGAGCAGAGAGGACCCCACTGCATCCCAGTCTATGCACAGGAAGGGTGGGGCAGCTCAGCCTACTGATCCAGGAGAGTGGGTGCTCTGACTGCCTAGGCATGGAGCAGAGAGGTCTCTGCTGCACCACAATCTAGGCACAGAGAGGGTGGGATGACTCAGGATGCAAATTCATGTAAGTGGGTGCTCCAAATGCCTGGAAATCTGCCTAGGCATGGAGCAGAGAGTGTCCCCTGCACCATGATCTCAGGTGAGCAGGATGGAGCTCCCAGCAAGGTCACACACAGGCCATTTCCAGGTGGCCAAGCTAGGCCTGGCTACAAGTCTCATTGCTCAAGAGAAACTGTCGCTGTAGCAGCTTCCCTCTCACCCTAGAACTACACACGGGGAGCACAATTCCAGCACCTACAACTGGGGCACTGTCCACACGCACCATTCAATTCTGGCTATGGAGGCCTCTACTCAGCACCAGAGCAAGCTCTGCAATCTCTGATCCAAGACTATAATGCCTGCATGGCCATGCTGCTGGGTTGTCAAAGAATTACTGACTTTGTATGCACCTGGATTAAAAATGGCATCCTGCTCTCCATCCTGAGTCTGGGAAAATGCCTGCAGGAATTCCTGGTATCTTTTCCTCTCAATGTCCCCAAGCCTCACCCCAAGCTAGTCCCAAGGCTTGGGAGAAACAAAATGCTCTTTCTTGTCCTGGGTTGCATGGATCCCCATTGGAAAAGTGACTCACAGAGGGAGGCTCTCTGCCCACCCCCTGTTCTGGGTCTTCACTCACTTTTATTTACCAAATGCCTTCCCAGGGGCTGCTTGCCCACCTTCTCCTCCCTGGGGTCTGGGACGTCCTTCACTGTCTTAATGGGTTCCCGTTTTCCCTTTTGAATTAAAATTCATGCATTTGAATTAAAATGTATGATTTTGCTGTTTCCAAGTGGCTAAGACACACTGCAAGCTTCTAATCCGCTGTCTTGGAAGAAAAATAATGCATTTTCTGATGACGTAAATACAAAAGTGCTAAGTTCTTACATTTATTAAATGAGTGTAGAAATAAGATCTGGTGGCTGCATTCACTTTGTCTTCTGACTACCAGTTAATTCAATATTTAAAATTCATTCTTTGGTTTTCATAAAATTACCTATTTTTTTTCTTGGCTCAAAACCTAACTATATGTCTCTTTCTTTCCAGTCCAGTTTGTCAAATTTCCTTCCTCTAGCTGTCCATTATACATACTCTGTGATTCTGCCCTGTGTTTCCTTATCTTCTCATCCAAGTTATTTTTTAAGGCAGTTCTGTTCACTGCCATGGCCTAACAGCCTCCCAATAGGCTAGTCTTTCTCAAATCTTCCTCAAGCCCTAAGACTTCTGCTGAATTTCAGACCTGGATATCTAACTGGCAACCAGCTCTATCCACCTGGATGTTTACGTGGGCATCTCTGGTTCATCATGTCTAAAACCAAGCTATCATCAACCCTTCAAACAGTTATCTATCCAGTCACTCACACCAAAAAACCTTTTAAAAATCCAAGATTTCTCTTTCCTACTTATCTTCCAGTCAGCCATCATGCCTATATATTCTTCTTGCCAAATATCTTTTGAATCTGCCCCTCCTTTAGACTCTTATCACCTATACCTTACAGTTCATGTTACCATCAACTTTTGCCTATATTAGTACAAAGCCCTTTCTCTTCTTTTGGTCTTACTCCATTATTCCAAAGTAATCTTTTTAACACCAAAATCTTATCTTCAAAATTCTTTAAATAATAATTCATTTGCATGTCATCTATACAAGGCCTTTTATCATCTAGCTCATGCCTAGCTTCTGACCTTCTCTTCCTGGTCATTATCACCACCTTCCCTCTCCTACCCCCACCTCTTGCATTTTACACTCTATTAAATTTTGAAATACTTGTTGATTACCGAATTCTGCCTTTTTAAAATAGTACAGACCTTTGCATGTGCAATACAAGGGCATCTCCCCAGTGTGCGTGCTTCACTGCCCTCAGCCATCCAACCCTCAGCTTATATGCTGTCCTCTCTGTGAAGTCTCATCTGCCTCTCTCAAATAAACTTTAGTGCTTCTTTTATTATTTGTTCATGGCAATTTTTAAATATTTCGATTAGAGTTATTTTACTCTTCCATTTAAATTTGTTTGGATGTATTTAATTGTTTTACTAAAAAGTTGTAAGAATTGCCTAGAATAGTTCACGTCAGACACAGAGAATATTCAACAGATGTTGGCTGAATTTAGACCAGCACCTAAACTAGTTCCTTTCAGGTCATTGGGACTCAATATTCACATTTTAAAGAAAAGATTTTAGAGTATTCTCAACTGGGAGCAATTTTATTTTTTCATTTCTTTAGAATTTCGGATCAATGTACTTGTGTGAGCTATTTTTAAGATAAATTTTCTATGTGATAATTGTATTTGAATTGATCAGAAACTGAAAGATTTGTTTTACAGGGATTATTTAAAGCCTGTTGACATTAGACAATTCCTGCATTAAATTTACTGTAAGCTGTAGGAGTGTTTATGATGTAATTCACTTTTCATAGTATTTTACAAAGCACAATCATCATAGACCCAGAGTAGATTGTTTGTGCTGACTCCTTTATACATCTCTGAGCCCAGCTTTTCTTCTGGTAACTCTTTTAGTTGAAATGGGTATCCTCTATGCGTGCCATTGGCATATCTCCTAGAGACAGCTGCAAAGAGTAGCAAAATCAGGGGGTATGATTGTTCTTCCGTGTATTATGAAGCAAGCTAGGAAAATTCTGAATGCAAAGTCACCAGGAAGAGATTCTGAACATGGCAGACCCCATGTTGTCTTTCCTAATCCCTAGAAGAAGGAAAAGAGGTAAAAATATTATGATAAAATCTGGATTCATTTTGCTACTGCCGACAGGGATGAATCTGGTGACTCCCACCCAGAGGTGCTTCCTTGAGAATGGAGAGATGGAAAATTGCAATCACAGACTTTCACATTAGGAGTAAAAACTTATATTATGATGGGTGAAAAAACTATGCCTAACGAAGTACAACTTTTAAGAGCTCATAAATCTTGAGCTCAGTCATAGATTATTAATTTAGAAAAATAACAACTATGTATTCTCAACTGCAAGCTACTCAATATTAATAACATTAGTGTGTATTGTATATCCAGATAGAGAATCACTAAAGGTTTCAAGCTTAGTGGCAAATGTATCTTTAAATATGCATTTACTATGCTCTCTGTAATAAAATGAAAATCATGGTTTATTTGATGGAAAGAGAATGATAGTTTGTAGGCTTTCACAATAAAATGAGAGAACTTGAAACAGGGATTCTCATAAAATGAGATTTTTTTCTAAACTGGAAAATTCTCTAGCCATAATGACCTGGGTAGGGATGGGAGAAAGAGAATGAAGTGTAACAAGGGCGTAATTTCATTTGAATAAAAGGAATTGGCGACTTATGTCAGAGAAGCTATGTTAGAGATATCTAACGGCCAACCAGCTCTGTCCATGGATATCTACCCAGATGTTGTTACTTCGTAGCATGGCTCGGGTATTAGTTCTCTCTGCATCTGCGTGGTGAGTAGCTCTGAGACATATTCTTTTGACCTCTAGGATTCCTTAGGTCATAAAGTGTGTATTTTCTGACCTAACGAGGCAAAAATGTAAATGAATGATAGAACATCTTTTTAAAATTGATTCCCAGAGATCTAGAGTGTTTATACACCCTCTCTGTTTTCTTCTCAGAGTTGCAGAAAGCTTCATTTCGCTACTAAAAGGTTTCCTGATTCCCTTATCTATCAGTAAGAGTAAGCCCAATTCTAAAAAATGTTTTTAGAAAATTACTTTCATCTCTGCATGGCCTGGAATTTGCTTGAGGACACCATGAATAGTAGGTCATCACCACTACATTTCAGGAAAGAGAGCCAATGTAACTATTTTTGAACGTCTTTGAGATATGGTTTAAAACTATGCTATAAAAAGGAACTTGCAAATCTAATTAATATTTAATTTTAGTCTCACGATGCAAAGTAACCTACATGGACATTTTAATGCCAAACTGCCAGATAGGTTGTAAGAATATACTGTACACTCACACCAATAGTGACTGGAAATACCTGGTATAGTAGGCAGAATAATGTGCTCCCCGCTGGCCGGCCCCCCACCAAAAAAGATACTCATACCCTACTCCCAGGATCCTGCAAATATGTTAAGTTGCATGGCAAAGGGGGATTAAGGTTATACTAGAATTAGGTTTGCTAATCAGCTGACTTTAAAATGGGAGATTTCCTTAAATTTCCTTATCCAGGAGGGCCCAATATAATCACAGGAGTCTTTAAAAGAGGAAGAGGGAAGCAGAAGACAACCAGAGAGATAGCAGTGTGAGAAGGACTTGGCCCTACATTGCTGGCTTTAAAGGTAGGAGTGAAGGCCATAAGCCAGAGACTGTAGGTGACCTCTACAATCAATAAAAGGCAAAGAAGCACATTCTTCCTTAGAGCCTCCAGAAGGAACACAGCCCTGTCAACAACTTGATTTTAGACTAGTGAGACCCATTTTGAACTTTTGTCCTCTAGATCTTTAAAATAATAAAGTTCTGTTGTTTTCAGGCACTAAGTTTGTGGTACTTTGTTACAGCAGGAATAGGAAACTAATACACTTGATTTTCTCCACATCTTTCCCAACACTGAGTGTTAACTGATTTTTTAAATCTTTTGCTAGCCAATAGTCAAACATACCCTATTGCTCTTTTTTTATTATTATTAGTTAGATGGATCTTATTTCCTCTATTAGATGCTTGATGAATATTCATATTGTTTTATGAACATCCAGCTCACGGGCTCATCCTATTTCTTTATTGAGGTTTTAGGGTTTTTTCTTACCCATTTGACCATGTAGTATCACTTTTGCTGTTGGTACCTGCTAAAACATTAAGAAAATAACTTATTGTTTTATCAGGAATTTATGATGAATTTTATAGAGCACCTTTTTACATTCTAGGTAATTTCATGTGCTTTCTTTAAGTATGTTTTCTACTTTGAACTATTAATGTAACAAACTTTAAGAATAGATTTCTTACCTTATCCCAAACTTACATTACTACGGTGTGTCCCACTTTGTGGTACTGCATTATTCTTTTAAGATACTTCTGAATCCAGTTTTGCATCTATATTTATAAATGAGGTGTGTGTATTCTTTTTTTCCTGCAATTTTTAAAATCATGGTTATGTTAGTCTTATAAATAAGCTGAAGCCCTTCTGTCTTTTGCTGTGCTCTAGAACCATTTACATATATAGGAGCTATTTGTGGTATACTCTATTTTTTTCCTGCCTCATTACTGATCCTCTTTCTTCACCTCATTTTGACATCATTTCAATAATTTTAATGGTATTTAGAGAGAAAAGAGAAGTAAATATAGTATCTCAAATTGTTATCTTGAGGTAGAACCTGCCCCATCTTTTAAAATCAGAAAGCTTTTGCATTCTTGAGCCATTCTCATATAATTATGGAAGGAAAAGGAGGTGAGACATATGAAAGGATTGCTTTGGAGAGTTGTTGGCAAGTTGACTTCTGCTTGCCTGTAATTTCATTAATTTCTTTTCTTTCCCCTTCTTTTCCTATGATGATACTATTATTAGTAGTACTATTTTCACCATCTTCAATATCATTACTATGCTCTATAACATATTAGAGCCTGTTTACACTGCACTAAATTATAGTTAATCCTTTATACTGTAAACTTGGGCTGTATTAACGGAAGTGTCCAGGGTAAGGGAAATGATAACTTCATGTTACTTTTTCATGGTCAGAATATTTCAGCAGAATTATGTTGAGTTCAGGGTACTACATTAAAAATGTGTTGACATTTTAAGTAACAAAAACATTACAGGTTCTTTGGGAAAAAAAATTGAAAGACTAAATAGTAAAAAGGAAACAAAAATGACCCTGATACAACCTTATGGATAAATCCATCATTCTAGGCTTCAATCTGTGCACATAATTCATATATATTTTTACAAAAATAGAATTATCTTCTATGTTACTGTTTTGCAAACCTGCTTTTTCAGGTCACAATATGTTGCTAACATTTCTCATGTCATTAACTATTCTTTCCCAAGATCATTTTAATGAATGCATTGTAATTTTATCTGTAACTGTATTAACAGATTCTCTATTGTTAAATATTTGTTTCCATTTTATTACTATTTATGGTGCAGCAATGAACAAGATATGGTGATTATTTTCTTGAGATAAATTCCTGGAAGTGGAATTGTTGGTTGAACATTATGACTTATAATAAGCTAAGCCAAATTTTTCTCTAGTGGTTATTTCATCTCTCATTCCATAGTAAGAGTAAAAAGGCAACCATTCCTTAAACCAACAAAGAGGACTGTATTTATATTAGTAGTTTCCAATTTGATTGACAAAAAAGAATATTTCATTTTGACATGCATTTCTTTAATTACACATGTCCATGATCTCTAGTTCAATGATTCTTTTAAAATTTGGATTTTGTTTAGATTTTTAGCAAGGTAATATAGAACTGCATATTGTACAACCACCTCAGGGGACCTGAGATTTAAAAGCTTTAAACAAACAAGCCCCTTCATCTTTCTACAGTGAAAACTATGAATATCCACACTAAGTGGGGGCAGACATTGGCCATTCATATTCTCCCTTATTATCAGGTTTTGCCATCAGGTCCAGTTCAGTTTTGCTGCTGAATGAATGATGAAAAATCTTTATTTTCAGAGCTTTTCTATTTCAAAATTGAGGACAAGGGACGAAAGATGTGCAGTGGAGATATTTTTTCTCAACTATTTATATTTATATTATTTATTATATTATTTATAGCTATTTATATTTATTCTTTTTGTGAATTGGTTGTTCACATCCTTTACATAATTTTATCTTAGGATGGTTAATATTTTTCTCATTGTCTTGTAATAGCTCCTTGCACATTAAAGAAATTACCCCTTTTCCTGTTATATATGTTACACATATTTGTTCTGAGTTTTATTTGTTGAGATTGTTTACAACAGTTGTTTTCAAGATTGAATCTACCCAAGAATCACCTGATATGTGTGTGTTTATGTCTGTATGTGGTGTGGAGTGGGTGTGTCCATGCGTGTATACAAATTCTTGAACACTGCTCATAGAAAATTTTATATAAAACATATAAAAAAGGTCAGGATAGAACTCTGGCATGTGAAGGCTGGGTGCAGTGGCTCACGCCTATAATTCCAGCACTCTGGGTGTCCAAGGGGGGCAGATCTACTTGAGGTCAGGGATTCAAGACCAGCCTGGCCAACATGGTGAAACCCCATCTCTACCAAAAAATACAAAAATTAGCCAAGTGTGGTGGCGTGCGCCTGGAATCCCAGCTCCTCCAGAGGCTGAGGTGGGAGAATTGCTTGAACCTGGGAGGCAGAGGTTGCAGTGAGCCAAAATCCTGCCACACTGCACTCCAGCAGCCTGGGCAACAGAGTGAGACCCTGGTTTTGTTTTTGTTTTTGTTTTTGTTTTTTGTTTTTTGTTTTTTATTTAAAAAAAAGAACCCTGGCTTCTGAATGTTAGAAAGCCCAAATATGTTATTAATGCAGAAATCCATATTTTAATTTATGAGAGGGTGTGTTCAACATACAGTTGTTTTAAATGTATCAATCTTTTTCTTTGTGATATCTGCTTTTTATGTTAAGCTGAATGTTCTGTGTTTCAAATGAGACAGTGAAGAACTGGAAAGTGTGTCCAGAGACCAACATCCAGGATCTTGAGAGACCTAGAGAATGATATTAGAGGACTGATGGAGGAAAGGGAGGTGTTTAGCTTGAAGCATAGACTTTCAGTAGGAACATGCTCTCTACCCTCATGTATTTGAAAGACTGTCATATGGAAAAGAGAATGTAGCTATTCTATGTTGCATCAGATCATATGAAGAGCAATGTGCTGAAATTCAGGGCATCAAATCCATCTTCCACTGTGAGTTTTCCTTTATAAAACAGCTCTGATCATATCACTCCCCTATTTGGAAAACTTCTGTGGCTTTTGTTGTCTTTAAAACATTCAATGTCCTATGAGGCCCTTTGCAATCCAGGCCTCATTGGGGAACTTCACCACACTATTCACCAAATGTGTCGCCCAAATGAATGGTTCTATGTTTCTTAAAATTCAGTAGGTTCACACTGTCCTCCTTTTCAAACTGTAGAGTTTCACAGGCTACCTATATACTGAAGCCTCCTTCTTTCTAGCCTGAGCCGTATGTTAAGCTCTAGTCAAGGCGGAGGCCTTGGAAGTCAGTTTCTCAACAGCCTCTCTGCAGAATGTCACCAATTTGACCTAATACAAAAGATAAGTCATTAAAAAACTTGATAAAGTACTTATATTTGTATATATTTACCTATATTTTTATGTATTTAATATTTATTGGCTATACTGTAGGTACTGGGGCTACAAAGGTAATTAAATACATATCCTCTCTTCTAAGAACCTTAACATCTCAAAAAAAAATGAAAATTCAATAGGAAAGATTAGTGAATATTTAAAAATTGAAGAGGTGATTACAACTCTGTAATTCATATTTCAGCCATTGTTGAAATTTGAATGAATTTATAGTACATTCAGGTATAAAACTATCTTTGGTAATACAGTGTTTAGGAGGATAAATAAAAGGAAAAGAATTAAACTTGTTTGAGTTGTGTAGAGGAATAACAGGATTGTGTTTGGAATCGAAATGCATAATTTTTGCCAAGATGATTAAGTAGAAGATGTTTATGATTCCATTGAAAATTTGATTGGTGTTATACAGTATGTTAACTAAAAGACACACTCATTTTTACTTGCTCAGGAATCCTTATAATGTTCATTAAAGTGCCTGCATGTTTTTGCATAACAAAAGAGAATGTGCATAGTTAACCACCGAACATCTTGGGATAATAAACATTTTATATATTTTAACATCTGTTATATTTATGTTTCATTCTGGCCATTAACGGATAGTTTTAACTTCCATGACTTTTTTTTTCTTATTGTTACATAGAAATATGAAGCAGGAGTTCTAGTTTTTCTAGCAATCAGTTACTCAGGTGTATTGCATATTGCATTTAGAGTCAGTCCTTTCAGATATAAGTGTGCTGTGCAGGAAAAGTTCCGAGTCAGTAAGAACTCCACAGTTGCCAAGATCAGAAGCCCCTAATATTTTAATTCCATATCTCCACACTTCCTGAGCTGGCTAGTGAGCTGTCATGGAATGCCCATTAAGGAAAATGCATCCCACCACATTACATACTGTGACTTAAACATCCAGACCCAGGCCTGAACTTCTGTGACGGATTACAAATGTGTTTTTCTCTATGGAGCGGTGAGCCAGTTAAGTAATTTGTAAATAGTGAACTTGTCAACCAAATGTGGCTTGATGTTATCTCTAGTTGATCAAAAACCCTAGCTTTTTCTCCAGTTGATTAATGACCCTTTTATTCTTTCACTATGGAACATTCTAAGAGTTGATACTAATTGTATTAGTTATGGCTGATTTCCTTTGGAAGTTCTAAAACAGTGCATAACCCTCTAGAATATGAACTCCTTGAAGGCACAGCCATCGTACATATCTTAGTATTGCCACCATTTGGCCAGTGTATTGCAGTAAGAGTTTTCATAAATGTGCGCTGACTCAAATTGAATTGAATTAACTTCATTTGCCATGGAAGATAAAAACTATTAAGAATTTCAGCACTGTTAACATTCTCAGTTCTGTGTAGGGGTTGAAGATTTACAGAAACAGTGCATTTTATTCTGCCAGTAAGTAAATAACTCTACAAGAAAACTGCTAGCTTTTATAGTTCCTTCGTTCAGCTACTTTTAGAAAATTAGTGTCACGGATCAGCCACAGCAGCAAATTCTAGCCAGACAAAGCACGTGTTACAATCACTGATATAACTTATAACTAAAAGATATCTTTGGTTGGAATTTAGATGTTTTCCCCAAATTTAAAATTTTTCAAATCTTTATCTTTTTCTACCATTTCAATTTGCTTGTTTCTACAGAATTCTAGAATCTTCTTGTAGCAGAAAGATCTTTTCATTACCAGGAAAGTCAGATACCATTCAAAAAAACCAATGTAATGCAGAAAAGAAAGTGTCATAAATAGTTCTTAAATATAGATTTTATCAGTAAACAAGTCTCTTGTTACATCAATGATTCCTGGAATCAGGATGAGGTGCTTTAAAGGTTTAGGGACCTGATGTAATACCAGAAATAAGACAAGTCTTGGATAGCTCAAGACAAATTATACTTCTCAGAACCCTAACTTCCACAGAGATGCCACATGGGTCGCAGAAGGGACAAGCAGAAGCCATGAAGTGAGTAGTGGATGGGAGATGGACTATCCCACCACAACCAGAACACCTTCCATCTTATTGCAGATTCCTATAAAACATCTCTCAGGGTTTCACTGTGTAAAATATTTTGACTGCTACAGCTCTATAACAGTGGCCCAAATGTAATATGAAATTACATAGGAAGAATGTAAGGGTTCTGAGTAATCACAGTGCAAACATACAGAATAGAGGCTCAGCAGCAATAGGTGTGAAAATATCCTGTTGCACAGTATCAACCAATACCATGATGTGGCTGCCCCACTAAACACACACACCAAAACTAATAAGAACTGGAGCTGTATTAAAAGAAATAAGGAATTTAAAGCAGTGGAGGTGAGCACTAGTCTGAACTGGTCAACTTCACGTAGCCAGAATAGTCTTCAGAAAGATGTACATAAAGCTGTAATTCCCAGCTGTCTGTACCGTATTTGGTGTTTAACCCAATCTTTCTTCCTGTTGTGATAGTGTTGACATCTATCACAATGGTCTGAATAAAGTCTTCCTTACCATTTTAAAAAGTGTCAGAATATTGTTTTCTTCAACACAACTACTACCTCACGATGCATCTCCAGAAATTTTTTATCTTGTGACTCTGAAACTCTGTGTCCACTAAACAGTAACTCCCCATTCCTTTCTCCCCTTGTGCCTGAGCAACCACTCTTCCACTTTCTGTCTTTATAAATTTGACTACTCTATGTACCTCGTACAAGAACAATCATATAGCATTTATCCTATTGTGTCTGGCTTACTTCACTTAGCATATGTCTTTAAGGTTTATCTCTGTCATAGCAGGTGTCAGAATTTCCTTTCTTTTTAGGGCTAATTACTATGTCTTTGTATGTATATACCGTATTTTGTTTATCCATTGATCTATCCATGGACACTTGGGTTGCTTCCATCTTTTGTGAATAATGCTGCTATGAACATTTGTATGATGGGCATAGAAATGTCTGTTCAAGTTCCTACTTTCAGGGGTTTTTTTGGAAATATACTCAAAAGTAGAATTCCTGGATCATCTGGTAATTCTATTTTTAATTTTTTGAGGAAGTGCCGTACCGTTTACATTCCCACTGTCAATGCACAAGGGTTCCAATTTCTCCACATCCTCTCCAACACTGTTATTTTCTGGATTTTTCTGGATTGTAGCCATCTTACTGAATGTGAAGTGGTATCTCATTGTGGTTTTGATTGCATTTTTTAATGAGGAACCTTTTTTAAAAAAGTTAACTTTTTTATGTAAGTTAAAATAAAACCTTTATTTCTAAGTTATTTGGGGCTGTTCCTCCTAATAACCCTAGAAGCCTCCTGACTATGCTCTAAGGCAGCTCTGTCCAATGGAAATACATTGTGAACTACATGTGTAATGGTAAGTTTTCTAGCAGCCACATTAAAAAAGGAACATGTAACATTAATTTTAATAACATCTTTATTTAACCCAATATTTAACCCAATTAAAATATTATAATTCTACCTGTAATCAATATAAAATTATTGATGAGATATTTTACATTTTTTTCATACTAAGTTGTTAGTGTGCATTTTATACTTATAGCACATCTCATTTCTACCTGTCCACATTTCAAGTGTTTAATAGCCACATGTAGCTAGTGACTACCGTATTGGACAAGTCCAAGATCTTGATTCTAATTGAATACTCACTAATCTTGTGACAAATTAGAAGGCAAAAACAACCAATGATCATATGTGATTTGCAGAAATCCTATGTCCATAGGCAGCTTGTGCATGGAGGTAACGTTTCCACCTCACCAACATCCACACATTGACCATGTGTATGCACACTCACACATGGAAGGAAACCTCCTTCTGGATAGAAGTAGCAACAGGGTCTCACTATTTTGTTATATTACTATAAGGTAATGGCATTGTTTTATACTATTTTACATTTTAATTTAAAACTGAGAGTATTTCAGCTAAACTATAAGTTTAAAAACATTGTTTAGCAAGTCTGGGAACCTAACCCCAAATTATTTGATTTCCCAGGAATCAATATGTAAACAAAGTGTAGAATCACAACATTTATGATTTGGTCAATTTCTGTGTGGAGGTGACCACTGAATATTTGATTTAGATCTCCAATAAGGGCTTTTAATTCCACTCTAGTATTTCTTCTAGTGGGACCTTTTTTTAAAAAAAAAAAAATCTTTTTTTCTCTTTTTTTTTGTTGGCAGCAGGTGAGCCACCTTAGTAGTACTATTTAAACTCTTTGATCATCTAAATGACTCTTTAAGTTAAGGCACTACACTACAAAGTAAATAAAGCAACCTGGGTGTCAAATCAGACATTGTCACAAGAGAGGTAAGATCCTCTGAGAGCTTTGTCAGCTTTAATAACCATGGTGTTTCATAAGCTGAGAGTTGTCTTCAGGGCCCAACTGTCACTGAAAAGCCCATGATGGTGTTTCTTGGGCTGGCATATTTATTTCCTCTGTGCACAGCCTCCACACTCAAGAGTTAAAGAGCTTTCAAGTGATAAGATAAGGAACTGTTAGATAAGGAACTTCAAATGATAAGATAAGAAGGAACTGTTTATCAATTTAAGCTTAAATGTTGACTGTTTAGATAGCAGGGTGATTGTTCATGAATTAATGATGCAGTAAAGTTCATTTACATTTAATGGACAATATTAACTATCTTTCCAAGCTTCCTATAGAATTCAACAATTTTTTACTGCTCAAAGTTTTGAATACCCTTTCTTGTCCACTGGAAATTTTTCCCTTCCTCTAGGGAGTGGATACCTGGAGACCGAATCCATGCCTGCTACTAGCCTTCAGTACCCCAAGCACCCAATTTCACAGCAGTACTTTGTGACACTTGCTAATTCATTGACTGATGAAGAAAACTTTATTCTTGTCACCTTGGGCACATAGGTTTTATCTGTGCTGCCAAAAATAAATTTAATTAATTAAGATAAGATTTATTAATAATGTGTGAATGCCTACCAATCATCAACTCTGTGCTAGAGGCATCACACTTATTTATCAATTTATCACATATCTGAGGCACATGTAGATGGAACAGCCACTTTTTCTGTTACATGTATGTAAACCAAGTCCCAGAGAAGACACATCTTGACTGCATCTGTTACCAGCTCTGGCACACTGGCTATATTTAACCTCTCTGGGTTCCAGTTTCCCATATCTATAAAATGGGGGTAATAAAACTAAGTGTTGCTATAAGAAATAAATTGCATAGTTTTATTTTAATAGCTTTCCTTCTTCACTTTGTAAGAATGGAATAAGTTTGTGCAGAGCATTTCACTTCTTACTAGAAGGTGGAAAAAATATCTTCTTACTTTGAATAACAAAGCCAGTCTTTGGGTTATGCCAAATTGCTCTGTATCAGACAAACAACTGGACCAAAGGAAAAGAAAACCAAGTGGGCTTATTTAAGCCTACCTTTGAATATTTTATAATAATATGACCACTGATAAAATTGTTCTAGATCCCTGTTGTAATCTAAGTTAAAAGTTATAATCCTGGCATAATTAATATCTAAATTCTCAAGCACTGTGAGAGTTCTATCAATTCTAGAATTTCATAGAATTAGGAGAAGTATGGAATTTATTATAGAATTTTCATAAGTCTATGAACTTTTTTTTCAGAGCCAGCTTCCAGCTAGGAGCTTATAAAAACAAATTAAACAAACTACTGTTACTACACACACACACACACACACACACACACACACACACAGACACACACACCCCTACACTTAGAGAAATTCTTGACTAGAAATAAACTGTCCTAAATTGAATATCAGCATTTCCCAGCATTTTCATAGTAAGTATAATTCTCTGTGTGTGTGTACACAGCTTTAATTAATATAAAGGATTGAAAATATCCATATCTTTAAGATCTCTTTTACTTTAAAATAATTTATATAAAGCTATACCGATTCTGTTGCAACTGACATTAAGAGATTTTAAATGTCTTTGTACATTGACAGTTTCTTAACACATTACATATTTTTATTACAGTTTGATAAGATGTAAATGATTACTGAAGAGTGTTCCTTAATATTTCAAAACTGATGGCAATTGTGTTGTCAAAACCACCCAGACAATTTATAGATCTCTCACCAATTTGAGACTGCATTGTTCTTACTGGAAGTGCCTTTGATCAACAGCTCCAGGTTTCTTGCTTCAGAATGCATGGAGTAAGTGTACTGCATGGAGTAGTGTCATTTATTTGATAAGAGCTTTTTAAACCCAAACAATATGCCAGGCCCTGGGCATAAAATGTGGTGGATAAAACCGGAACTGCCCTTTTGGAGCCTGGAATCTTGTGATAGAAGTAGATATTAACTAATGAATTATAGAAATAAATACATATTGATATGGTTTGGCTGTGTCCCCACCCAAATCTCATCTTGAATTGTAGTTCCCATAAGCCTGACTTGTTGTGGGAGGGACATGGTGGGCAGAAATTGGATCATGGAGGCAGTTACCCCCATGCTGTAATCATGATAGTGAGTTCTCACAAGATCTGATAGTTTTATAAGGAGCTTTCCCCCTTTGCTTGGCACTTCTCCTTCCTGCCACCATGTGAAGAAGGACATGCTTGCTTCCCCTTCCTCCATGATTGTAAGTTTCCTGAGGCCTCCCCAGCCCTGTGGAACTGTGAGTCAATTAAACCTGTTTCTTTTATGAATTACCCAGTCTTGGACAGTTTTTGATAGCAGCATGAGAACAAACTAATACACATAGGTACAAGTTGTGGTGATTTGTATTATGGAGAAGTAAAGAGAGATAGGAAAACACTGAAAAGGGGAGAGACATGGCATGGTCTGGGGAGCCTGGTTAGAGTTTACCTATCTGACTGATCAACCCCATGAAGAGGTTGATGAAAGGAAAGAACTGGGCTTTAAATGGATATGAGCTTGGGTTTCAAATCTGTCTGCTGTTATCCTGAGGGACGATGCTAAACCTCTCTGAAACCTCTGTTTTCTCATTTATAAAATGAATTATTGTATTTACCTCGATAGAATTTTTAGAGACTTTAAAATAGATTTCCTGGTGGCTGACACATAATGTGCATTTAGTAAACAATAATGTTCTTTCTTGGACTTCTCTTTTGATGACAAACTTTTGCTTCATGCCTAATAAGATTGTATTCTGCTTCTTAAGTATGATTTCAAATCCTATTCATGACAAAGACTGTCAAGACAAGTAATTATGACATAAAATTGTATCTGCTGTGGAAATACTTATATTCAATGTAGGGCTTTTTATTTCAGGTCAAATATTTGGTAATATAATTAAGGGAATGGATTCATTGACTTTAGGAAAATAGCATTCATCCTGGATATCATTAGATTGGCTAAGCAAAGCTATGTGACTTAATGGAAAAGCTACCTTACCAAGATTTAGGAGTACATGATTGTCGTTGAGGCTCTTGAAAAGGCATGGTGCAGCTCTGGGCCTCAGGTGAACCCTAAGTCTTTTTTAATCACCTTGGAAAGCTGAAGAATGTGGTTGGTGCACATTTCACCTGCATGATTCTTATTCTTTCTGAGATTTTTAGCTTAAGAGTCACCTCTTCTGAGACACGTGGCATGATTACTTAAGGTTTGGCTTATGTGGCACTGGGCTTCAGAAAGGAGGTTCCATTAAGAGAACCTTGCAACTCTTTACTTAACGCCTGGATGTAGGACGGAATCCTCCACCACATGATGCTCTCCACGAGGAGTGGAATAGTGGCCACCACACTCCTCAACTCTTGGCACAGTGACATTTAAAAAGTACTGTTTCATGAGTATCTGATTCATGATCTAAGAAAAAAAATTCAGTTATATGCTCAACACTATAAAAATCTTCTGAAAAAGTATATAGAATGGCCTTTCACTGTGATATTATAATTTCACAAGGAGAGCAAGCCAAAACACAAACAAAAAAATCAGAGAATGTAAGGGGGGCATTATAACATGAGGTATACTCTGTATGTTCATAGCCTCCAGAAATTGTCATGGAAAATTTGGGACTTTGGAGACTGGAAGAGAATTCACTAAGTAGAAAAGCAGACATGGTATATTGGGAGCACTGTAGGTGAGATATGGAACATTATGGTGATAGGCTTGAGAAGAGCAACAGAGTCCATGATGATTGTCAGTGGAAACTAACACTGGATATGTGGCCTGAAGTCAGATTATGGAAGCACTTGAAAATTCAGAGGAGTGTAGAAAGGTGGGGTCAGAAATATGGAGACATTAGTAGCTTTTAGCATGAAACTAACATGCTTAGAATAAAATATTTAGATTAGATTACAACAGATGAACTAAGTCTAAACAGAATAAGTCTCTGAGTAAAATCATTTTAAAGTAATACTTTATATGAAAATAGTATTTTTAATTCACTCTCATTGCTTTTTTCTCATTGATCATCATAGCAGTTCAATCAGGTAAGATGATACTTGTATCTGTTTTACAAAGGAAGAAGTACATGCTCAGAGAGGTTAAGTTGTATATTCAGGGTCATCTAGTTAATTAATGGCAGAGCCAGAATTATCAGAAAAACATCCTGAATTTCAACTTTCTATCATTAAAGTTAAAATGTATCTAATGGTAATAACTATGTAGTCCTGATTTTCATGTATATTGTCTAAAAACATAATCTTGGTAAAGACATGTAGAGATTTTTGTTGGTGAAGCTTTTCACTTTTTTGTTAAAAATATATACCTGTTTGTAAATCTGCACAACAGCATTGAAGAGAATCAAACAGATTTTGCTGGATTAACCCAAATTTATAATACTCAAGTACCATAATGCTTAAACAGTAGAATACATTAATTGTCTTATGTATGAGCAATCAGTGACAATTCTTGCCACTAAAACTACATACACTACAATCTAAAGGGGGAAATGTTTGAACTATAAGAAATAAGACCAGAAATATGGATTTGTTGCAAAGATGGGTTTTTCTGTAGAAGAGACATGATATACCTTCCATAAACAGAATCAATTTAGGATGTGGCAAGTACCATGTTTAACTTTTAATTTCATGAGTGCAGCTATTTGATTCATACTTTGCGCCACATAAAAATACATTTCATAATTTGTTGCAGAATGTTTTGAGGGAAAGCTGTATAGTATTGTGTTTAAAAGGACAGATTCTAAAGTCAGCTTTGCTGAGGTACAAATCCTAGTCCCAGCATTTACTCACCCTGTGATCTTATGCAAGTTTGTAAGCCTTATTGTCTTTATCTGTAAAATGAAGAGAATAATAATTCAGTAAATTTTATCTATGATTGTTTTTAAAATAGGAAAATAAAAAAGAAGTGAATTGATGGTAATGAGTAAAAAGGTTCTCATGCCAGCAAAACCACTATTATGCGTGTATTTCATACATAGACACATACATCTATATATTTTCTATTTGCCATGAGCTACTAATTTGTATTCTAGAACATGTCTAACCCATTCAGTTTTCCAACCCTTTACTATAGAAGTGTCAGCATTAGATTTGCAGGAAAATGGAAAGCAAGCTTTTATGACATTTTACTGATTTTTAGTGATCCGTGGTGATTAATGAAGCTTTATGGGAAGCCAGAAACAAATAATTCCTGGATTCCTGGTTTTATGTTTTAGAGAAATCCATTAGGCATTGGAAAAGTGCCTGAAGGTTGCATTTAAAGCCTGTTTTAAAAAAAACCATAGGGGTTTTTTTTTGGAAAGCTATATATGTAAAACATGGTATCAGTCATAGAGCAAGCACTTTATAAATGATTAAGTCTAGATTGTTCTTCCTTTCCCTTTTCTCCACTCAAGCTACAATCTACATCTTTTACAATTATTCATTCAAACTGATGTGAGTAAACATCAATCAGACCTACTGTCATCTAGAGCAATTCCTAAAAAGTAATAATAATAATTGATGCTGCTGACGGGAGCAGTATTATGAAGTTAAACGTGTAAGAAATAAGACTGATCTTTTAAAACAGTGTTTGAAACTCAGTGTCTTCGGTATCTTTTATCCTCTTTTGTGTGTAATATTCCTTTGCAGTTGGGGAAGCTTATAGAAGAAGCTGTCTTAGTCCATTTGTGCTGCCATAACAAAATACCTGAGGCTAGGCAATTAATAAGAACAAAAATATTTCCTTACAGTCAGGGAGGCTGGGACGTTCAAGATCAATGCACTCACAGTCTTGGTATCCAGTGAGGGCTGCTCTCTGCTTCCAAGATGGCATGTTGTTGCTGTATCTTCCAGAGAGCAAGAAGGCTGTATCCTCATGTAGTAGAAGGAGCAGAAGAACTGACCCTCTTATAAGGGATGGATTTTATAATCCATTCATGAGGACTATAGCTTCATGACTTAATCACCTCCTAAAAGTGAGGTGATTAATAGTATGACATTGTTGACTAAGTTTCAACAAATTAATTTGGGAGACACATTCAGGTTCTAGCAGTACCTGGTGACATTGGTCAGGTAAGAATGTCACAGAGCTGCTTTGTGGAGAGAAAGAGATCTCAGGAGATGAACAGGTGATCCTGCTTCCAGTGACCCACGCCCTTCATCCTTCAGGGACATCTTTCCAATAGACTGACAATCTGACTCCATATTTGCAAAGGACTAAGTCATACAGCTGTGAGAGGAAAATAAACAAATGATGTACCTTCTGATAGAGATGAGGATAACCAACCTTGAAAGAGCTCCTTGGGGGTTAGTGTGACGGCATGCAATCCATTCTCAAACACATATTTTCACATTAAAATGCATATCATAGTCAGTAGTTCAAAGTATCTTGGCATTAATTGAATTAGGGAATGTAGAATATTTGGGGGAAAATGTATAAATCAAGTGCTGATGAAGAAAAATGTAGCCTAACAGTGTTTCTTTCCATTGCAAACTGTAGAACAGAGGGAGCAGCCATGAATGATTAAGAACCACTGACCTACATGGGGAAATGCTGACTGAATGTTTAAAGTAGAAGGAAAAGCACTATTGATTTCTGATTTTAAGGATCTTACAGGCTTTACGTTAGAGCTAAAGCTTTCAGAATCTTGTTTTAAAATATTTTATAAGAAGTATTTTTAAAGGTTCATTAAAGCAGAATATTTTTAAAAACAGACCTTGACCCTCTCCACAACTGATGAATTATTTGAGAAGTTTAACACAATGTCCTGCTTTAAATTAAGATAATGTGGGTAAAGATGAAGAAAAAGTAAGTATAATTTGGTGGATTTGAAACTGATTAAAGATTATACCTAAAAATGTTAATAAATAAATCTATGTCAGTCTATAAAGTGATTTCTAAAGGTTTGCAGGAGTTTTTATCTTTAGACCTATCCTGTTTAACTTTTTGTTTTAAATAAATTATATAAATTTGTATTCTGGTCAGATTTACAAATAAAACAAAGCTGGAAGGTATAGGTAATACACTGCATTATGAAATTCTAGGCCAAATCCTTTACACACACATACGCACATACACACACACACGAAAAAGATGGTGGAAAATAGGCCTGAAAGTAACATGTGTAAAACATTTTAAAAATAGTGCGTGTCCATATAAATGTGCTATTACAATGGAAATTAAGGAATCCAAGGATTAAAAAAAAATATAAATGAGAAGCGTAAACATCCATGAGTGTAAAGGAAATTAAAGGAATAATTTCAAAAGTATTTTTTAAATTTCATGCAGATATATTTATACACACACATATTCAAAAACCAGCATCATACTTAGTGGTGAAATATTAGAATTATCAATATATTTTCTTTAAAGTTGGGAGCAAGATAATAATGTTTTATCATTAGAGTTTTTGGCAGACAACAGAAACCAATCTAGCTAGTTTAAGTAGAAAGGGCCATGTGGCAAAATTCATTTTGAAATTGTTGGAAAAGTGGGTGGAGCAAGCTCTGGGCATAGCTTCCAGGTATGTCTTGTAGAACAGCTGCCAAGAGAGCTGCTGCATCAGCTGTGATTATGAAGCTACGGAATCTTGCAGCCACTGCCCAACTATTGGCTCTATGACCACACCATCTCAGGGAAGACCTACAGTAGCAAAATGACTACCCTACCCACTGCTTCTCAACACCTACAAAACTAGGCATTAAACACTGGTATCTATGCTGTGGTTAAGAAAACTCCAGAAACTCTCTGACCATGTTCTTGGTTTGCCTAATCAATAGAACAGAAGCACAGCCCAATCTGCTTCATTTCTACCCTCCAAATTTCATGGGTAAACATCTGCTTGCTAGATTGCAGGTAGAATCCAAGCTCAAAGAAATCCTGGGAAACGTGGTTTTTCATTTTCCAGCTTCTAGCAGACTAAAGTCATACTAAAAGAGAAATGACATGGCCCTGATTGCAATGATCTACAACATCCACCATATTATATTCCCTACACCTGACATTTATCAGAAGTAGTAGCCAATGGAATTAAATAAGAGATATAAAGCAGGAAGCAAGATCATCATGCTTGCTGTTAACATGATCCTATACTCAGAAAACCAAGAGAATCAGCACAAATATTATTAGAAAAATTAGGTTTCAGAAAGGTAATGGTTATAACATTAATATACTATACAGATATCACATAGCTTTTCTATAATCAGTAACTAATTAGAAAATACAATGAAAGATGTTATCTCATTTATAAGCAATCAAAAAAGATACAATAGCTGGCATAAAGTTTAAAAATATGTAGATTTTATTGTGAAAAAGCCCTTAAAAATTTCTGCTGAGGTATATAAGAAAAAATGTATAAAAAGTACTTTGCTTTGAATTGGAGGATTCAATATTATCAATACTTTTAATTTTCCCTAAGTTACTCATATATGATTTTTATATATAATATATCCAATATACATATATTAATATATCCAAATCAAGAAGTGTTTTCCGAACCTGACAATTCTACATTTAAAGTGAAGAAATATATATGCAAAGTTAGCTATGGAAAGTCTGCAATGCACTGCCAGATATTAAAATATTGTAATGAAGCCACAGCTAAAATAGTTTTTGCATTAAAAAGAAATAGAGAAGTTAACTGGATTAGGATAGAGATTTGGAACATAACTACATATAGAAATAATTTAATATAAAATGAAGGTGGTATTTTACATCAGTCAGGGAAAGGTAAATTATTCAGTAACCTTTGAGACACTGGCTAGGCGTCTGTGAAAAACAAATGTTGGATCACAACCTGACTCCTTACACCAAAGGAATAAAGATGACGTAAATGAAGTAAATGCATGAAGGTAAAAAGTGAGTAAAGACTATAAAGAGAAAGTTGATTAATATAAATGGCTAATACATTTCCCAAGAAAGGCTCAACCTCATTTATAATTAAAGGAAAACCAATCAAAACAGGGAAGTACTTACTTCTTACCTATCAAATCTAAAGGCCACAGGATTGCGTTTATAAACACTGTGATTTGGCTATGCTTTCTACTTTCCTGAGAAAGTTTGCCAGCATTACCACAGTTCCGTTCTCAGTAACATCTGTGGTGCCTGCCTGCTCTTTTCAGCCAGTCTCGAGCTACAGAGGCCCTTTCCTCTTAAAAATATATGAGGCTTGGGGAAGAAACAGCTGAGTCTCCCATGCCAAACCATCTAACTACTTAGCTATGCACGTCAAGAATTTATTTACTGAAAGAATATCTAGTAGTTGCCTTTACAAGAAGGAGATGGAGCTGGAGGTTGTGGAGGAGGATAGATCATTGATTTTGTGTTACAAGCATCTATATGCTTACAGGGCATGTTTGAATTTCTGATCATGTGAACATTTTTTACATTGTACACATATTTTTAATTTGCATCAATTTATAGCATACAAGTGCAGTCCTGCTACATGCATAGTGCAATGGCCAAGTCAGGGCTTCTAGGGTACCCATCACCTGAATAATGTACATTGCATCTATTAAGTAACTTCTCACCATCCACCCACCTCCCATCTCTCACCCTTCCAAGTCTTCATTGTCTATCATTCCATTTTCTGTGTCCAAGTGTACACATTTTTTTAGACAGGATTTTACTCTGTTACTCAGGCTGGAGTGCAGTGGCATGATCACAGCTCTTTGCACTCTGGACCTATTGGGCTCAAGCAATCCTCTTACCTCAGCCTCCCAAGTAACTGGGACTACAGATACACACCACCATGCCCAGCTAATTAGAAAAAAAAAATTTTAAAGTCAGAGTCTCACCATGTTGCCTAGGTTGGTCATGAACTCCTGGGCTCAAGCAATGCTCCCACCTCAGCCTCCCAAATTGCTGAGATTACAGACATGAGCCACCATGCCCAGCCCAAGTGTGCAGTGCCCAGCCCAAGTGTACACATTGTTTAGCTCCCTCTTATGGGTAAGGATCTGTGGTATTTCCCTGCGTCTAACTTAGTTCACTTAAGATAATGACCTCCAGTTCCATTCATGTTGCTGTAAAAGACATGATTTCATTCTTTTCTATGGCTGAATAGTATTCCACTGTGTATATATGCTGCATTCTCTTTAATCATCCATTGATGGACTGTTCAGTTGATTCTGTATCTTTGTTATTGTGAATAGTGCTGCAATAAACATGGGAATGTAGGGTTGGTGTTAGTCTTGCTCTGCTCTGAGGTGGTCATCTTGGCCTGTGACTGTGTTTGGGTCTCTAAATCAACTAGAACATGTTAGGAGAGACAACCATGGCATGGGAGAATTTGCAGTCACATCCGATGACAAAGGATCCAAGCATTTGATTGGGTTATATAGCTGGGAAAGGAATAACGGATAGAAACTATAGCAGTGTTCATGGATATTGAATCTAGAAGAGTCAGTAAACATATTAGCCATGGGCTCAGAGAATATGTTAAAGGAAACAGTTTTGGATTAATGAAACAGAACGCTAAGCAGTGAGGCACTCCAGCAGAGGCTGACGTGGCAAGTGAGTTCTCTCATCATGAAAACTGTTCAGAGCTAAGCGTATTGTCAGATCGAATAAGGGACAGAGATCAAACCCTGGAATTCTTAGAGGCTACCATATTCTTACTTGTACTTCATAGGAGTTCCCAGATATTTTAAAAGACAAAAAAAAAGTTCCATATAATAAAACAAACGTAAAGTATATTGTAAAACTACAAGTCAGCTATCTAGCTTCTCAGGAACAATTCCAGTGTACTGGCGTTTGAAAGCAGAGCTACAGAAGGTCGTTTGTCATGTCTAAAGGCCATAGAATCACTTTTATTACCTTTTCGATTTAGCTTTGCTCTCTACTTTTTTCTGAAGTTAGCCAGCTTTACTACATCTCTGCTTCCAGGAAAATCTAGGGAATCTGCCCTCCCTCTTTTTAGCCAGCTTCCAGCTGATGGATTCTGGGCAACTGCTTAGAGACAGCAAAAGTAGACATGACCTTGGGAGAAGGTGGTAAAGCAGCTTTGGTCTGACCTTTCCTTCCTCACAGACCACCAAGTCCTGAAAGTGAATGTTTAATACCCCTGGCAAGATTGCTGGCCTCTGTTCCAAACAATTACTGAACTAATCTAAATTATACAAACACAGACCATTTATCAAGGTCAGCCTGCAACAATTTGCATATGTAGGCAGAGTGTTCCCAGTACAAAGGGTGAACTGAGGAGAGGTAAAACAGAAATGAGTTGCTGATTAGTCAAAAAAAAAAAAAAAAAGACTCATTAAATATCTAACAGTGGGCAAGTTTGCAGGTTTGGTTACCTAAATTATTGTCTTATTATCATGAGACAAAAAGGCATATTTTTCTTCTTTAGTAATAACTTTTAAAAAGACCATCTGGCAAATGTAGATTGAGACATTTGACCTCAAAGGTTTTTAACATTCTTCTTGATAAATAAGAATAAAAGGAAAAAGAGAATGGTTTGTTTTTGTTTTTGTTTCTGAGACAGTCTCACTCTGTTGCCCAGACTGGAATGAAGTGGCACAATCTCTGCTCACTGCAACCTCTGCCCCTCACCTCCTTCCCCTTCTTCAAGTGATTCTCGTGACTCGGGTATCTCAGCCTCCCGAGTAGCTGGGTTTACAGGTGCCCACCACCATACCCAGCTAATTTTTTTTTTTGTATTTTTAGTACAGGTGCCCACCACCATGCCCAGCTATTTTTTTTTATTTTTTATTTTTTGTATTTTTAGTACAGATGGGGTTTCGCCATGTTGGCCAGGCTGGTTTCAAACTCCTGACCTCAAGTGATCTGCCCACCTTGGCCTCCCAAAGTGCTGGGATTATAGGCATGAGCCACCACACCCGGCCGGAAAAGAGACTTTGCCTAGGGGAAGTGGTGATGAGAATATTTCCAACCCAGGGAACAGATCCAACTCTCCCTTTCAGTTGTTATTTCCTATGGGAATAAGCAAATTCCCTAAAACTTACTGGTTGTCTATTGATGCCCCTAAAGGGACTTGCTTCCAGTTCTCCACACTCACCTGAAAAATTTACATCAAAAGTTAAATAATGCAGTCACAAAAAGAGAAATACTGTATGATTCCACTTTTATGAGATACCTAGAGTAGTCGAATTTATAGAGACAAAAAGTGAAATGGTAGTTGCCAGGGGCCTGGGGGACAGGGGACATGGGGACTTGTTTAATGGGTATGAAGTTTAAGTTTGAGACAATTAAAAAGGTTGTAGAGATAGATGGTAATCAGGTTGACCAAAATTTAAATGTCCTCAACACTATTAAATTATACACTTAAAAATGATTAAGATGGTAAATTGTATGTTGTGTGTATTTTATCACTGTTTAAAATAAAATGTTAAAATCAATTATATTCATAGACGAAGGAATATTACAGTGACTGAACTTTAAAAATCCAGTTTTACATCCTCAGTGTCAGAGTCTCCACTGGACTATTTCAAGCCTGGGGAGCTTGGTAATGAGCTGATCATCTTTGACTATGTTTGGCTGGCACTGAAGTGGACCATGATGTTGAGTTTATGGTCTTGCTCATGGCAAGGAGCCAGAAGCCGGAAGCTGGGGTAGATCAGACAGGTGGGGGCAGCTCATAGCGGTTGGTTGCCTGGCTTGTTCAGTGCTGAGCACAAAGGTAATGGGTGGTAAATATCAAAGCTGGTCTTAAATTGTTGAGAAATAAGTAGGGAGAGCAGGCTTGCATTTAAAATCACAACTACTATGCCAGGGAAATATAGGTAACCTATTAACATCACCTGAGAACTGTAAGGTATGATGAAAAGCAAACATCTGCTGCTTTACATAGTTTTGATAATAGAGTCATCATATGTTTTTATATCCCTAGAGGAGAAGCAACTAGGAGTATGGTTTTCACCAAGTAAAGACTGAACAGACACCCAGGGCTAGCTTTATAAGTATGCCACTTGTGCAGTTACACTGCTTCCCATGCTCTGAAGAACTTTGTACTTGGTTTAATGACAGTTGTTGCATTCTTCATATTTGTAATACCTTTTGAACAAGGGGCTCCATGTTTTCATTTCTGCTAGGCCTCTCAAATCATGTACCTGGTCCAGTTGGCACCAATAAGAATATCAAACTACTGTCCAGGTGGTCACGCAAGGAGGTGATGCACAAGCCTAATTTGGGCAGATATGGAGTGTTAAAGAAAGGACCTGGGGTTGGTCTAGATATTATTTGGGAATCTGGGTGGAGATACTATTTGGGAATCTTGGTGGAGTCGAAGAAAAAACACAGATGGAGAAATATGTAGTATTGCATAAATTTGTGACTCTAAGCTCATCTGTCAGTAAACTGTTGGGGACAGAGTCCTGTGTCCAGTCAGTATCATTGTCCAGTCACATAGTTACATGTCTGCAGTGCTCCTCTCCTTTTCTACTCATGCTGTCATTGCTACATAGAGGAGATCCTGGATAGGAAAAGGTCAAGGTTCTGCCCAGTGAGTAGGATTGCAGGGTCTCTTATGCCTTCTGTTGGGACATCTGATTGTTTGCATTGCTTCTCCTGCCCTTGCTATCATCTTTCATCTTTATCCCCTCAACAGAGTGGGCCTACCGAGAGAAGGTGCATTAAACCAGTCATCAAGAATCACAACAGGGATTTCAACTATCTGGGGACTGGGAAGAAGAATGAGATTTCCAAGCTACAGGCTGGGTTGGACTTGGGGGCTGGTGTGGAGGAGCAGAGATTGGCCCAGAAGAGAAGGAGTAGGGCTCCTTTGGTGGGATAACATGGTGGAAAGGGGGTTCCATCCATGCCAGTGGGACTCACTGTCAGAAGGACTGTTGTCCAGGCAAAGTCACCAGAGCTGAGTTTTCTGGCGGGAATATTGAGGGTATTGTGTTGGCTCTGAATTTCTGGTTATTTCACCAGCTCCTATTTCTTCAGGGCATATTCCCCTCAGTTCCTTTATCATGTGGAATAGCAGCACCTTGATTTCAGTCTGACACAGATTCAATTTCTAGAATTGTCACTGTATAGATGGGGGAGACCTTAGGTAGGTTACTTTACCTCTCTGAGATGAGTGCATATTTTCTCATTTTGTAAAACAGATAAAACACATATTCATAGTATTGATTAAATACATAGTGATGATTAAATAAGAAAATATGTAAAATGTGGAGCACAAAATAGATCCCAAATGATTTGGATCTGTTATTACTATAATCAGCATTATAGGTGTTATTCAAACAGGGAAGAGCTAAAGATATACCAAACAGACTAATACAAAAATCCGTGGAGATTAAGTTAAAAAGAACGCTAATTGCTATTCATTTACATAGTCAACGTATCATTGTTATTTATTTACTTATTTCCTGGTTGTTATTGTTATTTTGTATGTACAGATGTAATTAATTCTACATTTTAAAATTGAAAATATATATCTGAATAGTGAGCCCTGGAGCTATTAGATTATCTTTCAGGGTTCTGTAAATAGGATTATAATTAGGCACAGTGTAATCTCTTATCCTCCACAAAGGCTGCTTATTTTACTTCTATAGAAACAGAATCTTCTGGACCTGCAAGAAATCTTACAGATCATCTACTAAAATTCCCTCTTTTAAAAGATGAAGAAATTGTGATCTGTTAAACTATATCTTTTAAAGTATTGAATTATTTTCCCCTGAAGTTTTATCAGTTCGATACAAATAAAATCATTTTATTTGTTTAATTTGGTTACCTTTAAGTAAGTTAACTTAAATCATTTCAGTCTAAGTCTTAGCTGGGAAACAAGACTTCTATTATTGTATCCACTGCTTTCCTTTAATTAAGCTCTTGAAATGATTATTTTGAACAAAATGCTTGGTACTAAATTTATAAATGGTGTGTTGCTTTCCACTGCAGTGTTCTACAAAGTTGGATTGAATTATTTTACCTATACAACTTTCTGTTCCTGCATAATGATGCTTTTTCTGTGTGAGTTGTTCATAAATCAGATAAATGTGGTTTTTCATCCTGCTTCAAAATATACAATGTGGTTGCTCATAATCTCCTCCTCAAAAATGCACAGGAAACATGCAGCACACACAGTACTCAATGAAGAGTCTTTCTCTCTCTCACTCTTGTTCTTGCACTCATTCTCACCCTCTTTTTCCTTTTCCCAATAGGAAAAGTACTCATTGGGTCTATTTGTCTTTCAGACTCTTGCACATACTGTGCGATCCCATGGTATAGGCAGCAGGACATGCTTTGTTCCTTGTTCCCCAGACTGTGTCACTTCAGCATATGTTGCCAAGTTGTACCTCGTTGTGTCAAATGCGGCTTGACCAATTCCCTTCAGAACACAATTTGAGTCAGCAGAGTGATTTCAGAGTTGAGTGCTTCCTCTGAATGTGGATTTTAACTGATGAATTTTCCAGCACAAGGGAAAAGATGCCATAGGCCAAAATATCAGTAAAATCTTCAGCTCACTGAAGTGGCAAAATGGTTGTCTCTTTGCAAGTGGTTGTATTAGGTAAGCATATTATTGAAAATAATGCTCTTCTGAGGGATGCGCTATGAGAAAAGCTAATTTTTCTAGGCCAATGAATTAGTTTTAACCACTTTTTTTCCTGATAAGGACATTTATTTTTTATTGTTTAGACAACTGAATATAATTCATTTGTAAATCTTCTCCCCTGTAATTTCTATTCCAATCTGCCTTTACACACACACACACACACGTAGAGCAAATTAGTTAAAAGCCTTCTTTTTCCCATTGTCTAATCCTCCACTTAAATCAATCCTACCTATATTGTAACCTTTTATTCCATGGTGAATAGTTTTCTAGATTAAAAGTTTGGAGTTTTTCCCACAGGTAACAGATTCTGGAAGGACTTCAAATGCCATGCATTTTTAACCTCTACTTAGGGTACATAGATGTAGAAATAAATATGAGTGCCAGAAAATTCACAACCTGTGATAGAATCATACAAATCTCAAGTATGTTCCCAAGAATGCTCTAGGGTTGAAGGGTACTTAAGTTTTAAGAATTCACAGAGGACAAAGGTATTAGTTTCTCTGAATGATTCCTATCTTTCAACATAACCTCACAGTTTCAATGGTATATATGTGTTTTGTTATGTAGGAAACTTCCTCACATTATAAACCCCAAATCTTTCATACATGAGCATAGGAGCTCTCTGGAGAGACAATCATCAAGATCATTTATGAATTTTCTTATATCTGACACTGTTCCCCCAATAATTTAAGATGGTAACAATCTTCAGTGCAGCTGTCCCTTCTCTCTTGGGAAGCTTTGTGTTCTGCTTACTAACAGAGGTGATTTTCTTACAACAGTTAGTAATCAAGGGGTCAAAATGAGAGGGCAGCATATTTTTAAAAACTCAGAGAAATAGTCAAACACCGCTAACTGTACCCTGTCATCAGAATTTTTCCTCTCTTCTTTACTCAGCTCTTAAGTTTCAAATCTGGCTGCATGTTATCATTTTGGGACTTTTAAAAAACTTCTACATCCTGGCCTTGCTGTCGAGCAATTGAAGCGACTCTGAAAGTGGAACCCAGTGAGTCAGGATTGAGCACCATGACCTTATAGGCTGAAGTATGTGCTGAAGAGGGTTAATCACAAATAGTGACCAATGGAGTAATGGAAACTACTGCTAGTTAGAGTCCTACATGGACATCATCTTAAAAAGAAGCTGAGGGACCTTTAAGGGTAGTTGTGTTTCTCTTCAAGAGGATGTGAAAGTTTTATCACAGAGCTCAACATAAAGTAGGAACATCACGTAACATAAAGAACATCTCAGAAATTAACCAAGGTTGACTTTAAAACAGAACACATTCTGGTTTAAGATATAAAGGAATAATATCTTTGACAAGGGCAATACTCTTTAAGAATGAAAAAAAAAAAAGAGAGAGCTATAGAGAAATATACTCTGGTGGGAAAAGGGACCCATTCTAATGATCCCAACTCTTCACCCTCAAACTTCTAACTATGTCTTGGGGTTTTATTATTTTGACCCTTCCTGCCATCATCACCCTTTACCCCAAGGTACCAATACCCCCTTTTCTTAGGTACCAATACCCCCTAGTCCAAAGACAAGAGCCACAAATGAAGCAATATGCCCAAAACACATTCTGATAATACGTTCTTAGTGCCTAGCAGGTGATGGCATAATTTGCTATCTCAGAACTGTACATTTTAACAATTTTTAAAACATTTTGTGTTTATAGCTCTTGAATTTTTTCTTAAATTTTCTTTAGAAAGTTAATGCTAGACCTAGTTATATTAAAAAGAATAATGGGAAGGGCATTTTGTTTCATTTGTGGGTTTTGTCTTTAGACTAAGAAAAGGGGATATTGGTACCTTTGGGTAATGGGTAGTGATGGCAAGTAGGATCAAACTAATAAAACCTCAAGACATAGAAGTGTGAGGGTGAAGAGTTGGGACCATTAGAACGGGCCCCTTTTCCCAAAAGAGTTTGTTTTTCTTAACAGGTCTTATTCTTTTTTCATTCTGAAAGAGTATTGATTGAATGTCAGTCAGAGAGGTGATTGTCAGAGAGATGATTCCTTTATAGCTTAGCCTGTATCTCCAGGCTTGAAGTTCTACACCAGTGAGATAATTAAAACAACATGCTTTGGTTGAAAGCCTTTCCCAACCACAGTGAGTACCGAAACTATATTTGTATTAATCAAGCATAAATTTCTAACAAAGATCCACTGATACAGGAATTCAAACAAATTGCATTTTTGCCCCTCTTAAAATACTATAGACTGTTATCAATGATAACATTTTCAAAGGCATAGATTGTAAAGTTTGATGGAGTGTGCCTCTTCAACCTTTCAGAGATGTATGTTTAATTCTTTTCTGTGAAAGGTAACAGCTAATAGACCCATTTAACTCATTCTCCAGGGCTTCTGTCATACAATGAATTTCTATTGTTTAAACAAACAATACGTCAGTTTCTTTATAATAACCACATGTTGAAAGAAAGCCACCCATTCAATAAAATATGAATGAGGTAGTTATTTTAACAGCTATGAAAACTTGAATCAAGTTGTCTGGGTACTTCAGCTGAATTGATAATGGAGGAAATTAGGCAGTGCAAGCTGCTCTTTTCTGAGTGCCTGTACTGTCCCTCCATTATTAATCACAACATGGCCATTGACATTCCTGTCAGATCCACTTCAGAGTGCTGATTGCTGGTCTGTGTCACTCCATGTGAGAATACATTCTGGAACCTGCATTTTATGTTCCCAGAGAAGTGCTGAGCATTCTGTTGGAAGTAGCATCCTTCTTTCCCTGAGGGCTTAACCTGTCAACTTTTCCCAGTTTAGGAAAGTGCAGCTGCCTTATGGAATAGAAAGTCATTCATTCATCATTCACTCACTTATTCATTCCTTTGACAATTTTTTACGCATTTGCTATGTTCCAAACACTGTACCATGTACTAGAAACATAAAAGATGACTGAGACCTAGTCCTTGCCTTCAAGTTACTCCAATCTAGCAGAAGAGAAAGACAAGTATCAGCCAATTTGCCACATGCAAAGTATACCTGATGTAGCCAGGAAAGGCAAAGGTGGCTCATTTGCAAATGTCAGTTCGAGGAAGTGAAATACAGAATGGGTCGTCAGAGAAGTGGCCAGTTAATGGACTATGTTTTCAATGGATTCTGTTCTTATCCAAAGCATATGCCCATATCATTGATATTTTCTTAAATTATCTTCCAATTATTTTCTCTCTTTCAGAAGTAATTAATTTCTGGGAACAGCCTGTCTTCACTAGGAAAAGCTTGTCTTACATACTCTTTAATTTTTAATTTTTGTGAGTACATACTAGGTATATATCTTTATCACAATCTAGCAGAGGAGAAAGACAAAAATCACCCAACTTGCCATATGCAAAGTATATATATCATGGGGTACATAAGATTTTTTGATACAGGCATGAAATGCATAATAATCATATCATGGAAATTGGATTATCTGTGCCCCCAAGCATTTATCCTTTGTTTTAAACACAATCCAACTATATTTTTTAGTTATTTCAAAAGGTACAATTAAATTATTATTGACTATAATTACCCTGTTTTGCTGTCAAACTAGTTCTTATTCATTGTTTCTAACTATTTTTTGTTGTATCCATTATCCTTCCCATTCTCTGGCAACCGTTCTTCTACTCTCTATCTCCATGAGTTCAGCTGTTTTGATTTTTAGATCCCACAAATAATTGAGAACGTGCAATGTTTGTCTTACTGTGCCTGGCTTATTTCACTTAACATAATGACCCCCAGTTCCATCCATGTTGTTGCAGATGGCAGGATCTCATTGTTTTATGGCTGAAGAGTACTCTATTGTGTATATGTGCCCATTTTCTTCATCCATTCATCTGCTAATGGACACATAAGTTGCTTCCAAATCTTGGCTACTGTGAACAGTGCTGCAACAAACATGAGAGTGCAGATATCTCTTTGATATACTGATTTCCTTTCTTTTGGGTATATAACCAGCAGTGGGATTCCTGGATCATATGTTAGCTCTATTCTTAGATTTTGAGGAACCTCCAAACTGTTCTCCATAGTGGTTGTACTACTTTACATTCCCACCAACAGTGTACAAGGGTTCCCCTAGTCTCCACATCTTCTCCAGCATTTGCTATCACCTGTCTTTTGAATAAAAACCATTTTTAACTGGAGTGAGATAATATCTCATTGTAATTTTGATTTGCATTTCTCTGATGATCAGTGATGTTTTCATATGCCTGTTTGTCACTCATATGTCTTCTTTTGAGAAATGTCTATACAAATCTTTTGTCTATTTTTTATTGGATTATTAAATTTTTTCCTATAGAGTTATTTGAGCTCTTTATATATTTTGGTTATTAATCCCTTGTCAGACCGGCATTTTGCAAATATTTTCTCACATTCTGTGAGTTGTCTCTTCACTTTGTTGATTATTCCCTTTGCTGTGCAGAAGCTTTTTAAATTGATGTGATCCCGTCTTTCTATTTTTGCTTTGGTTTCCTGTGTTTGCAGGGTATTGCTCAAGAAAATTTTTCTCAGACCAATGTCTTGGTGATTTTCCCCAATGTTTTCTTGTACTAGTTTCATAGTTTGAGGTCTTAGATTTAAACCTTTAATTCATTTTGATTTGATTTTTGTATGTAGTGAGAGATAGGGTTCTAGTTTCATTCTTCTGCATATGGACATCCAGTTGTCCCAGCACCATTTATTGAATAGACTATCTTTTCCCCAGTGTATGTTCTTGGCACATACTCTTTTATTCATTCAAGGCCTACATATATATTCTGATTCATATAGAAATCCGATTTGAGTTGCACAGAGAAAATTTCATTACATTTTGCTTGTGGATGTTTGACTAAAAAATGATTTAAAAAGCCAAACCTATTGTGTTTGTCAAAATCCAAGTGATTTACAACAATTATAATAAAGTTCAGAATATTTTTGACAACTCTTCCTGAGTGATTTTTGAAAACTGAAATGCTTCCGGGATGAGGTTCCCATTCTCTACACAGCATTGGCATTAGTAGATATATCACCATGACGTACCTTAAAAAAAAGCTGAAATTGCATTTCCCAGCAATCGCCCTCAGTACAGCCTTTATGCATTAGGGTCAGATATAAGGCTGGTGACTAAATTTATCTTCCTTTATTTTTATTCACTTTTCTTGCCTTTTTCTCTTTTGTTTCTTCTTTAAGACAGACATATATGCATGGTAAGTAAAAGCTGTAAAAAGCTAAATACTTGAGGGGATGGACACCCCATTTTTCATTATGTGATTATTAGGCATTGCATGCCTGTATCAAAACATCTCATGTACCCCATAAATATATACACCTACTATGTACCCACAAACATTTTTAAAAATAATTTTGTTTTGTTTTGTTTTGTTTTTTTGTTTTTTTAAATTTTATTATTATACTGTAATTTTAGGGTACATGTGCACAACGTGCAGGTTTGTTACATACGTATACCTGTGCCATGTTGGTGTGCTGCACCTATTAACTCATCATTTAGCATTAGGTGTATCTCCTAATGCTATCCCTCCCCACTTTCCCCACCCCACAACAGTCCCCGGAGTGTGATGTTCCCCTTCCTGTGTCCATGTGTTCTCATTGTTCAATTTCCACCTATGAGTGAGAACATGCAGTGTTTGGTTTTTTGTCCCTGCGATAGTTTGCTGTGAATGATGGTTTCCAGCTTCATCCATGTCCCTACAAAGGACATGAACTCATCATTTTTTATGGCTGCTTAGTATTCCATGGTGTATATGTGCCACATTTTCTTAATTCAGTCTATCATTGTTGGACATTTGGGTTGGTTCCAAGTCTTTGCTATTATGAATAGTGCTGCAATAAACATACGTGTTCATGTGTCTTTATAGCAGCATGATTTATAATCCTTTGGGTATATACCTAGTAATGGGATGGTTGGGTCAAATGGTATTTCTAATTCTAGATCCCTGAGGAATCGCCACACTGTCTTCCACAATGGTTGAACTAGTTTACAGTCCCACCAACAGTGTTAAAGTGTTCCTATTTCTCCACATCCTCTCCAGCACCTGTTGTTTCCTGACTTTTTAATGATCGCCATTCTAACTGGTGTGAGATGGTATCTCATTGTGGTTTTGATTTGCATTTCTCTGATGGCCAGTGATGATGAGCATTTTTTCATGTGTTTTTTGGCTGCATAAATGTCTTCTTTTGAGCGGTGTCTGTTCATATCCTTTGCCCACTTTTTGATGGGGTTGTCTGTTTTTTTCTTGTAAATTTGTTTGAGTTCATTGTAGATTCTGGATATTAGCCCTTTGTCAGATGAGTAGGTTGTGAAAATTTTCTCCCATTCTGTAGGTTGCCTGTTCACTCTGATGGTAGTTTCTTTTGCTGTGCAGAAGCTCTTGAGTTTAATTAGATCCCATTTGTCAATTTTGTCTTTGGTTGCCATTGCTTTTGGTGTTTTAGACATGAAGTCCTTGCCCATGCCTATGTCCTGAATGGTATTGCCTAGGTTTTCTTGTAGGGTTTTTATGGTTTTAGGTCTAACATGTAAGTCTTTAATCCATCTTGAATTAATTTTTGTATAAGGTGTAAGGAAGGGATCCAGTTTCAGCTTTCTACATATGGCTAGCCAGTTTTCCCAGCACCATTTATTAAATAGGGAATCCTTTCCCCATTGCTTGTTTTTGTCAGGTTTGTCAAAGATCAGATAGTTGTAGATATGTGGCATTATTTCTGAGGGCTCTGTTCTGTTCCATTGGTCTATATGTCTGTTTTGGTACCAGTACCATGCTGTTTTGGTTACTGTAGCCTTGTAGTATAGTTTGAAGTCAGGTAGCGTGATGCCTCCAGCTTTGTTCTTTTGGCTTAGGATTGACTTGGCGATGTGGGCTCTTTTTTGGTTCCATATGAACTTCAAAGTAGTTTTTTCCAACTCTGTGAAGAAAGTCATTGGTAGCTTGATGGGGATGGCATTGAATCTATAAATTACCTTGGGCAGTATGCCCATTTTCACGATATTGATTCTTCCTACCCATGAGCATGGAATGTTCTTCTATTTGTTTGTATCCTCTTTTATTTCATTGAGCAGTGGTTTGTAGTTCTCCTTGAAGAGGTCCTTCACATCCCTTGTAAGTTGGCTTCCTAGGTATTTTATTCTCTTTGAAGCAATTGTGAATGAGAGTTCACTCATTATTTGGCTCTCTGTCTGTTATTGATGTATAAGAATGCTTGTGATTTTTGCACATTGATTTTGTATCCTGAGACTTTGCTGAAGTTGCTTATCAGCTGAAGGAGATTTTGGGCTGAGACGATGGGTTTTCTAGATATACAATCATGTCATCTGCAAACAGGGACAATTTGACTTCCTCTTTTCCTAATTGAATGCCCTTTATTTCCTTCTTCTGCCTGATTGCCCTGGCCAGAACTTCCGGCCAGCATCATCCTGATACCAAAGCCTGGCAGAAACACAACAAAAAAAGAGAATTTTAGACCAATATCCTTGATGAACATTGATGCAAAAATCCTCAGTAAAATACTGGCAAACCAAATCCAGCAGCACATCAAAAAGCTTATCCACCATGATCAAGTGAGCTTCATCCCTGGGATGCAAGGCTGGTTCAACATACAAAAATCAGTAAACATAATCCAGCATATAAACAGAACCAAAGACAAAAACCACATGATTATCTCAATAGATGCAGAAAAGGCCTTTGACAAAATTCAACAACCCTTCATGCTAAAAACTCTCAATAAATTAGGTATTGATGGGACGTATCTCAAAATAATAAGAGCTATCTATGACAAACCCACAGCCAATATCATACTGAATGGACAAAAACTGGAAGCATTCCCTTTGAAAACTGGCACAAGACAGGGATGTCCTCTCTCACCACTCCTATTCAACAAAAAATAATTTTAAAAATTAAAAAAAAAATCACTGAAAACAAAGTGCTTTTAATTCGGAAAACAATTTTTAGTAGTGTTAAACTATAAAGACATTAGTCACAGGAAGAAATTTTATATCTTCTAAATTCTTTTGAAAATTCTATGCAGAACCATAATCACTGGGGAAAGCTTACAGTTAAAATTAATCTGTCCAGCATACTCATAATAAATACCTTTTTATTAATATTAAAACTAATAAAGTTAGCAGACCCAAAGTAAATGGATATATGATATTCTGTTTTTATTATTATTTCCAAAGGCTAAGGTAGCTAAACTTTCATGCATGATGTTGTAAAAATTAAATGATGCACAATCATTTGAAAAATGGATTTTCCTTGTACAAGTTGGCCTTTTCAGCTCTATATATTTATTTAGAAATATATCTGTCTTCTGGCTGATATTGCTTTAGACTGATCAAATTTGTGTTTGAATATAATAATGGGATAGTGTTTTGAGTTTCTCAAAATAAATGTCTGAGAGATAGCATTAATTCCTTTTGATTTGACACTTCCTTTCCATTGCCTATTTGGAGGTTACATAGTCTTTATCCTGGTTATTCTACTTGAGATACACAGCATAACATATGATCACTCAATCAGTATTTACCTTGAATCAGGTATGATTAGATACATCTGGAGAGTCTTAGAGGATGGGCCTGCCAGGAGCCCATTTGCATGACGGACTGAAGAGTCTTTTAGGAAGTAGTCCATCCTATGGCAATAGAGAGTTGACATAGAGAAGCTTGATATAAATTCAATGCTTTGAGAGTAGAAGGAACCAAACCATGGAAGTTGCATGGTTCATTCTGCCACCCTCCGAAATGTAGGCTTGAGTGTGTTGATGATCAAATCCTAAAGCATCCTTTACCAAATTTTTGAACAATTTTGGAAACACTGAAGACTCCTGCTTTGTATTCTATATATAGCACCAGAATAAGCAGGGGTACATAGAACTAAAACAGTGATGGCAGCAAGAGGCTGGAGCAGCCTACTACCTGACCCAGTGAAGAAGCAGGACAGGAGACATCTTTGGCAGTGGTTAGCTGGAGGCAAAACCAGTCATGCTAGCACTGGAGGGAGACTGTTTCATAAAGATTGGTGGCTAACTCAGTGGCTTTCCAGCATCTTCCAAGCAGGTTCATGGACATTGTCTTCTGCAGTAGATATCTGTTTAGAGTCAGGAAAAAAAAAGAAAAAAAGGCAGATGCCACATGGTAAAAGAGAGAACTGGGTTTATGTGCAATTGTGAGACCCATTGGTCACTTCTCAGAACTTGTGTGTGTGAAGGACCTTATTTTAAGAATACAAGGTCCTGAAATGCCTTAAAGTACTTTTCCTCAGGAAGATGTCTTGGGGAAGATAGAAAAATCTGATATGATAAGAATGACAAATTACAATATGACATGTAAAACAGATAAATGAACTGCATTTGTTGCAAACTGCAAAACTAAGCCAAATTCAGAATTGTAAAGGAGCAAACCGTTAAGCTCTTTTCATCCATTTTGTTTATATTGCTGTCTTCTGAATGAGTTCATAGTGTCAACAGCATCTTTGGCAAAAATAATGGAATTAACAGAATAAGAGAGGTCAGAGTAATACCTCACTAGGTATTCAACTGAGTTCCTTTGAACTATTTTGTTCTGCTTATTTTGTCTGGGGTTTTTCTTTCAGTTTATTTCCAACTTTGACAAGCTGCAGATCCACGTTTCCAGCTGTCTTCTGTATATTCCCACCTGAAGATGTTATTACCTTATAATTATTCCCCAAATCTTCTGCCCTCTGTATTTTGTTGTTGATGTTGTTGTTAATGATGTCACCATCCCTTTAGTCTCTCAAGTAAGGAAAACAGATTTACTTTTTCCTTCTCCCACTCCTTTGGTTCCCTTATCCAATATGTTAACGTCGGTGCCATTAGTAACTTCTGAAGTCTCACTCCTATCTTTCTACCACTGGAGTATAGGTCTTCACCATGTCTTGTCTGGACTTTTGCAATAGCTTCTTAACACAAGACTCTCCCCACTGTAGTCAATACTCTACCTTCGTTGTTATAGTCATCTTCCTAAGGACAAATCTGATCATTTAATTTGCTCTTCATAATCCCTGTTAGCTTCATTGCATGGGGCATAAAGCCAAATTTGTAAGCACTGAAAATAAAACCCTTCACACACTGGCTCCTTCAGCTTCATCCCTATCACCCAGATTCAGCCATATTGGACTTCTCACTGTCATTTGCATAAAACTGGCCCATTCACATTTGTTCGTATGCAGAATTCTTTCATAAAATGTCTTCAGTTGGCAAAATCTTAGTCATCTTTTCAACAGAGAACAAAATCACCTTCTCTTGGATTTTGAGCTTTCCTGAATGCTCTCAGGGGCAGAAATAGTTTCTCCCTCTTTTCTGTTCCTTGGCACTTTCCTTCCTAACCACAGCATGGCACCTGCCACAATTATGATCATTTCTCTATCTTGATGTCTGTGTCCCCACTAAACTGTGTGATCCTCTAGAACAGAAAGGTATTAGCAATTCTCTTTGTGTCCCCAGAGCCTCACATGGGACTACACCATGGGTATAGAATAAGTGTTGACAGAGTGAATGAATAAAGAAGCACAGCGAAGTGACTAAGTCAGAGGAGGGACACTTAGATCAGCTTCAGAAAGTGGAACTACAAGTGGATAGAGTGTGGCTATACATAGAGTAGAACATTCTAAGTGTCAGAACTTTTAAAAATGGTAGCGTTTCCATGTTACTAATCATCAGAGACATGGAAATCAAAACCGCAACAAGATACCATCACACCAGTCAGAATGGCTATTACTAAAAAGTAAAAAATTAACAGATACTGGCAAGACTGCAGAGGAAAGAGAATGCTTATACACTGTTGGTAGGAATGCAAATGAATCCAGCCCCTGTGGAAAGTAGTTTGGAGATTTCTCAAGGAACTAAAAATAGAACTACCATTTGACCCAGAAATTCCATTACTGGGTGTGTATATTCAAAATAAAGTAAATTGTTCTTCCAGAAAGACACATGCATCCATATGTTCATCACAGCACTATTCACAATAGCAAAGACATGGAATCAACCTAGGTGCCCATCAGTGGTGGATAGGATAAAGAAAATGTGGTACATTTACACCATGGAATACTATGCAGCCATAACAAAGAACAAAACCATGTCCTTTTCAGCAAATGGATGCCACTGGAGGCCATTATCCTAAGTGAATTAACACAGGAACAGGAAACCAAATACCACATGTTGTCACTTATAAGTGGGAGCTAAACAGTGGATAAACAGGGACATAAAGCAACAAAAGACACTGTGGATTCCTAGAGGCAGGGAGGGAGGGAGGCAGTCAAAGGTTGAAAAACTAACTATTGGGCACTATGCTCAGTACTATGGTGACAGGATCAATCATACCACAAACCTAGCATCACACAATATATCCAGGTAATGAACCTGTATATATAACCCATGAATATAAAAGTTGAAATTAATTTTAAAATGAAATAAAATAAAATTGAAAAAAATGAAATAAAGAAGTAGCAAGTATTCTTTAATTAGAAATTCTCAGAGGATGGTTGGCCACTTGTGAACAAATGGATAGGTGATGTACATCAGGTAGTTGTTGGCTATGCTAAATGACCTCTAATTCTACTCAGAGATTGTGTTATTCTTCATTAATACACAATCCCTCATGTCACCTGATAATTTCCAGTAGTCAGTGATATCTGCCTTTAACCCTGGCTCTGTAAGTTTATCTTCCATAAATAGATTGGAAATGTATTCAGTTGGAACCAAGCCAGGGAAGGGGGAGAGAATGAAAATGAGAATATCAAGTAAACATAAATGACATACTATGATTTTTTTAAAGATGGTACATGAAAACTGAAATGTTCTGTTTGTAACATTGAGAAGAGCTGAGGCTTTGCATTTTTGGTACTTCAAGTGCCAGGAGGGAGAAGCAGCAACCTCCTCCCACTCCTGGGAGTTTGGTGTAAAGGGACATGGCCCAGCCTGCAACTAACTAGGAGTTAGTCCAACCCATCTACTTGTGCTAAATTGTAGCTGTAATATCTCTGTGGGTTTCGTAATAACATATATAATTATGATGCATTGTTTTTATATAGCACCTTTCTCTAAGGAGCATAAAGTGCTGTGTGGACATTATCCCATTAAATCTCACAGCACTCTGGAGACATTGAAAGAAGGCAGGTGATATTATATCCCCTTTGAACCCAGAGCTGAAAAGGAATTTCTCCAACCAAAAGTAAATAAAAGCAAGATGGAATGAAAGCAAGATTTATAAGAGGATATAAGGTTAGAGTTTAAAGGAAGATATTGACTATGTTGGAATTAAAGGGAGATTTAAGGCAAAAAAAAAAAGTAAAAGAATTGCTGTGAGAAAATAACAAAGTGTCTAGAGTGTGTATATATATATATGTGTGCACAAAATTAAAATAATATACAAATACTTTCAAAATTTGAAAAGCAAGATTATTTTAAAACCATCTATAATTTTACTACAATAATAAAACTAATTTGATATATTACCTTATGTCTTTTTGTTTTGCTTTTACTGTGCATCTGTGATTTTCCACATAAAATTATACCATATATTCAATTTTGTATTATGTATTTTTCACTTAATTATATATCATAAAGTTTGCATACTTATAATTCTGAGTAGCCGTATAATTTTCCATGGAATTATAAACCATAATTTGTTTTACTCTTTTCTACCAAAAGGCAGTTTCCACATTTTCACCATAATAAATAACAATAGATTGAAAATCTATCTTTATGCATATGGATCTTTTATGTTTTTAATTATTTCCTTAGCAGAGAAAATTTCCGGGAATAGAATTACCAGATTAATATGGATATGTAAGTACATTTAAACATGACTGCATAAACATACTCTCAAATTAACATGTAAGTGAAAAAAAGGAATAAGAAAATTACTAAAAACCAACTATATTTACACGTTACAAACTATGTTTACAAGTTTCCAAGGCAGCTATTTTAAAAGTAAAAATGTTAGCAATTATTTTTGTCTGTGCACAAACAAGTAGTTTGATTTTATTTTTATCACATCATCATTCAATTCAATTTCTTTGGTAGTATGAAACCAGATTAAAAATAAAAAGTTGAATCTCAAAGAAAACATAAATTTGTACCTGTTTTTTAAAAGTAGATTTACTTGACTGGAACATGTAATTTCTCTGTATTCTTCTTAATTTTAATTTACATGGTCAAATGTTCTATGAAAATAATTAGGAAAGTGTGTATGTGTGTATACTAATACCTAAAGCCCCATTTTAAGAAAGTAAATATAATTGTAAATTTTTCTTATTAATTATGGAAGCACTGGAGAAAATGACATGTGTGTATTACTGTTTTTGGTGACAGGTTGTTACATGGTATCATGTACCAAAGTGATTACCTCAAGAGTCAAAGATTAGGTCGGGCGCAGTGGCTCATGCCTGTAATCCCAGAACTTTGGGAGGCCGAGGTGGAAGGATCACCTGAAGTCAGGCATTTTAGACCAGCCAACATAGTGAAGCCCCATCTCTGCTAAAAATACAAAAATTAGCCGGGTGTGGTGGTGTAGTCCCAGCTACTCGGGAGGCTGAGGCAGGAGAATTGCCTGAACTCCAGGGGTGAAGGTTGCAGTGAGTCGAGATCACACCACTGCACTCCAGCCTGGGTGACAAAGTGAGACTCTGTCTCAAAAAAAAAAAAAAAGTCAAAGATTAAAAATACTGGCTTTTAAAAACATTTAAAACACATTAAAAACATATTGATGTGTAAGGTAAATACTGACCAAGGAAACTGTCAGGCCAGTGTTTTTCCAAATGGCAATCAATCTAAATGATGTCGAGAATATGAAGTCAAAACTAGCTTAGATATGAATGAGGCATACAGCCTTAACCATGGACTTGAGAATCTTGTTTTAATCACTGTTCTCAATAATATTCTTGCTGATCTGAAGTCACATACCCCTTTTTATCTATTGTATGGTTTTAAGTAATGTTGCAAATTGACTGAAGTTAACATGGGACACCAAAACATTTCTACTAGCTGACAGAAATTTTGCAAACCATTCTCATTTTTATGGCTTTAGCAATAGTGTTCAAAGATATGAACTGAGCATTGAAGCAGTGCTAGAGATTGCATTTTCTATTTCACCACACAGTCTAACAAGCAGGGTCTGTCTTGGGAAAAATGGACTTAAAGTATTATAAGAAAGACATTTTTTCACAGACTCTAAAAGACAATTAATCTAAAGTTAGATAAATTAAAGCTACCCACTGAGAAAAGTTCATTTGGTCTCTGTTTAAAACTAAAAACTCCACGCTATAATTTGTTTTCAAATTATAGCAAAGATGAGCAATTTATACAGCTACATCCTACTCCTGTAATACAGTGATGAGCTACATACTCTCAACAACCTGTGGTCACCAAGAAAATGGAAGATAGAGAATGATTGGTTAATTTACTCATTCTCTCAGAGCTTGAATGAGGAATGTATTCCCCAATGGGTCCATAGGGAACTTCTTTCAAGACTCTATTACTAATACAATGCTTCCATATTATCCTGTAAGTATTGTTTAACTTGTTTGCCTCTTCTACTAGAGGATGAGCTTTCTTGGAGGCAAGAATTTTGATTGATGTCTTTGGTATTCCAAGGCCTTGCACAGTTTCTGGCACATGGTAAACACTTATTAAATATTGGTGAATAATCAAACAACCAAATGGTTTTTACTTCCCACCGCGCATCTACTATTGTGCTAAGGACTGAGAGAGACATAAAGAAGTGTACCTTCAAGGAGTGTATAATTAATACATAAATGTGAAGTTAATGAACACCACACGGTAGTCTGTTGTGACGCTGTAATAGAAGATTCTTTGGTGCTGGTACTAGGAAAATAGTCAAGAAGAGTTACATACACAAAAAAAAATTGTGCCATTGTGATAGGGGAGTGATAGATAGGCATGGCCATACAGGTTAACTGAGAAGTACTAAGGTCTATTTCCATCATTGTTTGATTAGTGTTCAACTCCCTTTCTAGACTGTGCTCTAAAAAGTCAGAGTGCACATGGGTTTTCATTCACCATTGTATTTCTAAGATCTAGCAGAGCACTGGCATGAAGTAGGTAATTGAGCACTTGCTTTGCTCAATATTCTCTACTTTTTCAAGGGCTAGATCATTCTCATCCTCATCCCCCAGCTTAGGTGTCCTTTCTTCCAAGATGCCTCGCAGGGTGCCCTCTGTTATTTCTTTTCTCAATCCCTAGTTTATTTCCTTTGCAAAACATATCACCACGTATTTGGCTCTTTACTCATTCTTTTACCTGTCACTCCCACCAGACCTGATGGTAAACCTCTGTCCATCTGTTTTGGTCCTGGTTGCAACCATAGCTCATATCACAGCACCTGGTACCCTTTCCCTGCAGAGGCTCTTACCTCATAGAGGTCTTTTCTTACCCTATCTAACGTAGCTTCTCCCAATCCTTATCGTGGTTTATTTTCTCTCTAGCACTAATATTTTCTGAAATTATTCTGTGTATGTAGTTATGCCATATTCAAACTATAAACCCCATGAGGACAGAGCCTAGAGCCATTTCTACCTGATTCATTGCTGTATCAAGGCTTAGTAGGGGGACTGACACAAACAGTTCTTGAATGTGCAAATATTTAGCAAATAAAAGGTGATGGCACAAATAAAAGACAAAATAATTAAAAAAAAAAAGCAAAGGAAAGAGATTAGTTGTTAACTAGGATAGCAAAACAAGTGTTAGCTTAGAATTGTGATGGTAAAGGCAAGATCTATTTTCAATGAAAAATAATGGTTGGAAATCAAAGATAGTTAGAGTAAAGAGAAGTGACAAGGACTAAACCAGAAGAGCAATCTGAAGACTTTATCTCTACACAACTGTGGGCAAACATCTCTACACAATTTGGCAGCTTCTTTTTCTTTTTTTCTTTCCTTTTCTTTTTTTTTTTTATTTTTTTGGTTGGTTGCTTGTTTTGAGATGGAGTCTCCCTCTGTTACCCAGGCTGGAGTGCAGCGGTGCGATCTCGGCTCACTACAACCTCTGCCTCCCAGGTTCAAGTGATTCTCCATCCTCAGCCTCCCGAGTAGCTGGAACTACAGGTGCATGCCACCACACCCAGCTGTGGTTTAATGAGAGACACAAACGAAACAATGGTTAGACCAAGACAGTAATGTAAGGTCATTTAGAGCCAGGACAAGCTGAATTACTTGCCATCATGCAAAAACACTCATGGGACTGGACAGACCTAGGTTTGGCTTTTACTCTTCTATTTATAGCTGTATTACAGTGGGTAAGGCAGGTGCCTTCTGTGAGCCACAGTGTCTCCAATTGCAAAATGAGAAAAATAAAACCTGCCATGTAGTATCATTTTTAAAATAGAACAAAGAAATATATGTAAAAGGCTGCACCTAGTACAGAATCTACTACATGTGGGAGATCATTGAATAGTGGTCATTGTTAGAACAGTGCATCAATTACAGTACCCAGCTAGAAGGGTGGCAAGCAAAATATTTAATCATATTAGTAAAGGAAGATGTATTTCCTTTCATTTAAGTAACTTTAAAGGACATCTCTTTATTTTAGATTATTGCATGAGCAACCAATTGATCATAATATATAATTGTCAGGGCATGATTAATCATAAACTACTGACTTGAAAAAGAAAAATCATTAATTATGATAATTATTCTTTCTCATTGTATATAATTGAGGCTTAGGAAGTAAAATTGAAAAAAATCTTTCACTGATTCTGAGTTAATTAGCATACCTTGCAGGTATTTACATTAAAACACCCAAATGTTCTTCCTATGTTTTGTTCTAAAAGAAGAGATTTGAAGAGCTCTCCATTTCAGGCTAAGGCTAATTGAAAGGCAGATGATAAATGATTAGTTGAGGTATTTGTTTTGAGTGTGTAGTTGTTAGAGTGAATTTTTCATTTGAAGATATATATAGTATTAAAAGTCCAGGAATCTCTGAGTTGGGAATTAGGGGCAGAGAGCAGTCAACAAATCATATATTTGTAAAATAATTTGGAACCTTCTTCAGAGAACTGATTTCTGAATAGTCTGTCACCTAAACAATTTCATAATGATGCTGATTTGCCAGCTTCTCCTCCAGCAAGAGGCAATAAATCAAGTGTATCTGGGTTTATATGGGGAAAAACATATTAATTGATTTATGCATATAACATTGCAGATATCCATAAAGCAAAGCCTTTGGCAACTGGCAAATGTAATAATTTCACATTTACCTATGGTTCACCAAGTACAATCCATTGCTTGAAGGCAAAACTGTATGTTTTATGTTTAGTTTTTACGATTGCTTCCATATAGTCTCTCTGTGCATTAAAAGTCCATTTTCAGAACCATGGGTTTACCAATTTTTATGAGTAAAAATTTTATGAGATATTATACTGAGGTAGCATAAAATTATTTTCTGATAATTTTTACCACCTTCAGAACTCCACTGTTACTTTGTTTCCACATATGCCTAAGGATATAATTTGTAATACTTTTAAATATGACACATTTCATTAGAAATATGATATATTGCAGAGATATTATATGAAGCTTCAACCTCACAATAACATTACAGATTAGTTTTTAATGTAGGTTACATTGACAATTCTATTTAAAATCAAATATAAAGAAGGATATTTAATAAAATGATTAATGATTTTTATATTTATAGGCAATGTGTCATCTTCTGATCATAATTATGAGCAAAAAGAATTAATCCTTTAAGTGAAGGGCTTCTTGTAACACAGTAACTTAAACACTCCATTGATATACAAACAAGGAAGACTTAAGATAAAATAGTTTGTTAGGTTTCTATGCCAAAAAATGTTATTGTTACCCATATAGATCTTCTTGTGTTTTTGCACTGCCTTAAGTCATATACGTAACATAAAAGTTTTACCATTTAATGATATGCACAGCCGCAGTATGTTGGGAGTACAAATCTTAACCATCACATAAGTTCCTAAGAAACATAAAAGCTGTGTCTTTTTAGCAAGCTGTGAAGTGATAGCCATCACTAGTGGGCTCTAAATCATCTCAAAAGCCATTCTGTTTTTCCATGCAGTGATATAGGAATCTGATATCAGAGTACCTACACATGATGAAAAATCTCCTCAGGTGAGAAAAGCGAAGTGCAAAGAAGTTAGGGAGATAGTATTCATTACTAGAAATATGATAAGTTTAGAGCCAAATCTATGCATTGGCAGTAAAAATTCTAAGATGGCCATAAACCATCTACAGTTAAATGCATATCTCAGCCTGCATATTTTGTAGGCTTTGTCAATGACTTGCAGGATAAACATAGGACCACTTCCATTCCTTCACTTTGCAATGTGTGTTAGACAGGATTCCCTCCCCAGGTGCTCCAGGTAGCAAAAAATCCTAAGAAAATATTATTTCAAGATCAGCTGCAACATACCACTGAAAGTCAACCTTTCATTACAGATATAATTTAGCATCAAACAGAAGGGCATATCGGCATGATAGTTGGGCTTAAAGTGGGTAGATAATTGCAATATTAGGCCTGATGGGGGAAAATGTCATGAAAAATCTTACTATGGTAAACAAAAGAAGTCTTTTCAATCAGACTGTCCTGGGTACAAATCCTTTTGGTATCAATTGTGCAGCATTGGACAAGCTATTTAACTGCTCTGTGAGCCTCAGTTTACTTCCATGTAAATTAAGAAAAATCCTACCTACCATATATATTTGCGTGTGGTTTACAATAGACTAAATATATCAAATGCCTGGCACAGAGAAAATTCATGACAAATGTTTGTTTGCTTAGTCTGAATTGAATATGAAAATACAGTCAATCTCCTATAAAGGATTTTCTTTTATTATTATTATTATTATTATACTTTAAGTTCTAGGGTACATGTGCAGAACGTGCAGGTTTGTTACATATGTATACATGTGCCATGTTGGTGTGCTGTGAAGAGTCCTCAGTAATGTGGAGGGAAATGTATTGGAATATAGTTCAGGGGCTACTGATTGAATTTCATCTGGTCTCTACCAGTAATCTTTTGGATGATATGGGAGGATTCCTGTAACCTCACTGACTGTCATTGTCTGTAACTATAAAAGGAAGAGTTTAATTTGATTCTTTATTTATCAATGTTATTTTATATTCTTTGAGAATAGATGTTTTTCATCTAGTGAGCATTGAGTAACTGTTGAATTAGTTCAATAATAGTGTGATGCCCTCCTATGGGGAACTTGAGTGTATCATTGGGAACTTCTGTGAGAAATGTAGACGTCACATTCACTCTATTCATGCTATGTGGAATCTATAAAACATATTTGCTGTAGCCACCTCAGGCTTTGAATGGATTGTGTCGGTATAAAGATAGGCAACTGCTAACAAACATGTAAGGTTCTTTACCCCAGCATGTGGACTTGTTTTCCAAAAAGACCCTGAGGATGATAGAATCTCTCTCCCATAGGTGTCCAACAAGGAAAGTAATGTATTTTAGACTTTTCTTGGCCATTGACCTCTGGACTAACAATAGTTTCAGAAAATTTTTCAATTCACTGAGGAAATAATTCTCCAACAGCAAAATGTATTTTATTCTTTCCTTCCCTCTAACCTGCTCCAGTGTATCTTGTTTTCCTAGTCTTTCCTCTCTTACATGAGGATGGATAATTTTTCTCTAGAGCTCAGAGGATGAATGCTCTTGACCTAACCCTCATTGAAGAAAGGCATGGAAAGCCTGCCAGTTCAAATCCATTGCTCTAAAGGTTTTACTTTCTGTTACATATTATCATTGGGTGGTCCAAAGGGGTCAGAGATGGAGGTTGTTTCAGAACCTGAAGTCTTTACTAAAAAAGATGAAACCAGAAAGAAACCACACTGGGTACAAAGCAGTGAGGATCCAGCCTATTGTTTCCAAAAGCCTGCTACATTCAAGACACAGTGAACTTAACCCAGTTTTGTTTTGTTTTTTAGAAGAACAGCCATCTTGACTTCACAAAGAGTGTTGGTCAGAATATTTAACTACTGGTACAGCAGTGGTACTGACCAAAGAGAATAGATACTGCCCAATCAGAATGGACACCAGCTGTAAACAACCAGTGTATCCATATTGGTGCACACTGGCTTTTAACATTTGCCCTTGCAAAAACTACTGAAAATATTAAAAGGGAATCTCACATGTCAGAGTCCTCTGTTCTACCAAAATTCAACTTATTTTATGCTAACAAAATTATTTGAAACTAATCTAATCATAGTCTCTCTCCAGTTACTGCCTCTTCACCCTACTTCAACTAACAGCAAAGCTCCTCATTAGAGTTCTGTATTTATTTCCTCTACTTCTCACCTCCCATTTTCTCTTGAACCAACTCTAATCAGGCCTTTGTCCCCAATGTCGGCTTCCTCAGGAGCTCAAAGGTCTTATCAATATCAACAACCCCCATATTGCCAAATCTGATGGTTAATATTCAGTCTTTTTATTACTTAAACCTTCAGGGGCATTAGACACAAGTTGATCATGCCTTCCCTTGTGAAACACTTTTTTACCTGGCTTCTAGGACACCACTTTCTCTTGTTCTTCTTCTATTGCATGCCATTTCTTTTCAGTCTTCTTTATGGGATTCTCTTCCAGCTTATAAATGAGGGAGTGCCTCAGTCAGTCCCTGGCCTCTTTTCTTGGCTTTCTATGCTCCCTTTCTAAATGATTTTATCCGATTCTGTGGCCTTAGATCAATAGACTGGTGAGTCCACATCTGTATCTCCAGCCTTGTGCTCTCCCCAAAGATTCCCAACTGCCTACATAATATACCTCCACTTGGATATCTAATAAGCCCTGCCATATTAGCATATACTGAGCTCTCTGGATTTCTTACCCACTTCTCTATTTTCTGCAAGTGTATTGGTTCCCCAATGTCTCCCTTCTCAGCAAATGCTATTACCATTTACCAGTTGCTCCAGCCATTCAGAAATTCAGTTGGTGATGCCTTCAAAATACACCTTGATCCGACCACCTGGCCACCCTTATTTAAATGGCTGTCATTTCACACCTAAACTACTGCAACAGTCTCCTAATAGATTTTTACCCCTCCTACAGTCAGTTTATAACTGTCCACATCTCTCACGCTCCCGTGACCATTGTTACCTTGCTGTTTCTTCAATACAATCATCTCATTTCCTCCTCAGGGCCTTTGTACTTGCTCTTTCCTCTAGCTGATATGATCCTCCTCCAGAGCTTCTCAGGGCTTCCTCTTTCATATCAATCAGTACTCCACACAAAGGTCATCTTCAGAGAAGTTTTCTTTTTAATAATTAAAATAGAAGCCACACCCAACTCACTATTCTCCATCCCCCTTCTCTGCTTTATTTGCTTCAGAGCACTTATCACTATTTGACTTCACATTATCTTGCTATTTTCTGTTTGGTCTGTCTCCCCAAATAGAATATATCCTCCATAAGACATTCCAGAAAAAACATATAATCATAGAACTGAAACCATTGTGAAGAACTCTGGAGGTCATTCACCTCTACCCACCATCTAATATTTAGATCAACCTTGTACTCTCTCCATTATTTGTAAAGTGAATATTTTTATACTGAATCACATTTTCCCACTGATCTCCATCATCATTATTTTTTCATGGAGAAAAATGACCTCAATATTAAATAAAAATGTTACCAAGGACAATAATACCTACTTTTGACAGTATGCAATTAATTTTCCTATATAGCCCATAGGAGAAATTAGTCATTCAGACAATTGAATGTGACCATTCCTGGCAGCATGTGCGGAGCCAGAACAGATACTGGAGCAGTGACATTTTGTACCAAATATGCAAATATAATAAAGCACCAAATAAGTAGGAGCTATGTGCTATTGAACTGTAGCCAGAGCCTGAACAAGAACACAAATATGTTGTCTAATAACTTTGTTCCACTAGATTTCATTCATTCCTTATTGGAGGAACATGCATTTGAGTAAGAAATATGCCAATTTATATAGTTAACTTTCATTCTTCTTAAGAACTGCCCACTAGATCAAGTTGTTTGATAACTGATGAAGATGATCTAAGATGACTTATCATTGAGTGTGTTTCTTTAGACTTTGCACTAACTTTAGTTATCAGCAACTCTTCAGAGCTAGTTATTTGTACCCTCTTTCCCCTTTTATTGGTGTCTTTAAGATGTTAAGCACTCTTTCCTGTGTACTGGTTAACTATATTTGCCTAGTGAAGGAGTACTGATTTTCCATTATTCCTAGATGCCACATGATGCATTTCTATTCGTTGTAAACACTTATAAGACTGACTTATATTTTGTCCTTCATCACATCAGTCTGCCAGGGCAAGATGTCTTTAAATGAGGCCCAGTGCGTTTCATCAGACACATTTCTACCTTGACACTTAAAGGAATGATGTTTTCAAGGTGTCTAGGTGTAATGAAGTTTGTTTTAAAAACCCGCTGCTATCTTGCCAAAGCCTCAAGGCAAGGCCTCTGAAAAGTAACAGACTATATACTTACTTTTCAGGCCTCTTCTGGGCTTGACTTATTTGCTTTTTCTATAGGCACTAAACTATTACTTATATTTCATTTATATATGTTGACTTCAGAATTTTCCAGGAAAATTCATATTGGCCTTTGCAAGTAAGAAAAATGATTGATGAATAAAAGATATTAAACAATCCTATAAAATAGATCCTTAGGATAATTAAATTGCTTGAGCAACAACAATTTTGAGAGTTCATTGCTGTATTAGAATACACAAAAGCACATAAAAAAGTGAAGTTTTTAACAACATTTCAAATAAGGGTTTACAGTTTGACTTGGATCTGTTTTAGTGATGAATGAGGTATGCCATCTTTACTACTTGTTGAAAAAAGCCTACTTGAACCAGAAAGTCTAGATTTTTCTCCACAGATTTTAAATTCTTTAAATAGCATAAGTTCCTCCTGAGAGAAAACTCCAAAGAGTTATAGAATTAATTTGCCCTTGAAGGGAAAAACAACAGTGAATATTAAGAGAAAGTGAGAATACAACATAAGAGAAAAGGGGAGTTGTCAAAGGACATCTAGGAAGTAACCTCCTGCAATGTCTCTATTGTTCATCCTTCAAATTTATGGCAGGGCATCTCTTAACATTCAACCTTGCCTTAATGCTCCTCCTGCTGTCATCCGCTATGTGAAATGATCCCCCAACCTTTAAAATCACATGTTGGTTTACATTCTCTTTCCTTGTTCTCTCACTTGGTTAGACATGTCTCATGAACTTCTTTGTATTTACATGATGACTAAAAGGGTGACTTGGTTCAACCCAACAAACATTTTTAATCAACTCTCCAAACATTTACTGCCTCTTCTCACAATATTTACAATGACTTCCACTCTCTCTAATTGTCCACTCCTTTCCTCTGTGATCAATGACAAATGGCTCAATCTTTGTTTCACTCTCTGTATAATTCCAGTACACCTAGTTTATAGGGAAAAAAATAAGACAACCAATTTTTAATAATAATTAATGTAAGATGATGTATAACGTTTATTTACAAAAACAAGTATTTATTGTGTTGTTTCTGTTTACTTATATCCATCCTGTGTTTCCATTTATGTGAAACCACAGAGATTCTTTTTTTTTTTTTTTTTTTTTGAGACGGAGTCTCACTGTGTCGCCCAGGCTGGACAGGCTGGAATGCAGTAGTGCAATCTCGGCTGACTGCAACCTCCGCCTCCTGGGTTCAAGTGATTCTTCTACCTCCGCCTCCCCAGTAGCTGGGACTACAGGCATGAGCCACCATGCCTGGCTAATTTTTGTATTTTTAGTAGAGACGGATTTCTGTCACATTGGCCAGGGTGGTCTCGAACTCCTGAACTCAAGTGATCCGCCCGCCTTGGCCTCCCAAAGTGCTGGGATTACAGGTGGGGATTGTTATATATCTTTAACCTTCAGAGAGCTCCATTCATCAATTCAACAAATATTTGAGTTCTTACTATATACTGAGCATTATTTCAGCCATAGAAAATTCAGCAGTGAACAAAACAGAAAGAAATTCCTCTAAGCTCCCTGGAGCTTACATTAATAAACAAATAAATAAGCAAAATCTACTGTATGTCAAGGTTTCCAAGGATTTATTCGGCCAAGTGATACTAGGACAACTTTGCCAATTAGAAGAAGTACAGTGTTGCTGAAAGAAATCAGGCACTCAGGTTTCTTAATAAGAAACAAAAATATCACCCAAAGCCTGAGTACAATTCTTCAGGCCACCACTGCTCACTGTCATCTGAAATTCGGTTGCTAGGACACTGCTAAGCATAGCAAAGCTAAGGACACTTTACAAGCTGGGGAAGTTTTTGGTAGAATGATGTTATGATATTCATAGATCTAAATTCAGTTATGAAATACGGGGCATAGAGATTAACATAGAAAGAAATAAATATATCTGTAAAGTTGACTTTTGATATCATTCAAGCTTAATAATCTAATGCCTATAAAAAGAAGATATACAAATTATTACATTGAAAAACTGTTGGTATTTTATAGTAACATTTAAGAATTTATAGCTTTTCACTAAAATCTAATCTAATCTATCTCTTAATTTCCTCATAAATCAGGTGGCTAATTTTTAGCCTAGAAAATGCAACTTTTGTTCTGATACTATGGCTTTAGTTTCGCAGGGTAGGGTAATCAGTATCATTACATTTTTATCCTCTAACACTTCTCTAAATAGAAGTGAGGTCTCTTCATTTAATTTGGGAAATTGAATGCCAGTCAGGGAATTCAAAACAGTGTTGGTTTCAAGTTTGAGTTTCCCTGAATAGTACCAAATTATTTTCCTTGACCCTGAGGCATGGGTCTCAATGAGAAAACATAGGGAAATTATGAATCCAAGATATCCTGAGACGATCTTGCCTACATATTTAACAGTGAACTGAAATTTTGTGTCTATTGTGGCTCATGAATAATAGGGATCAGTAACTGATTTTCATTGCATAGGCAAAAGTAAACCATCCATATATGTAAAAAATAAGATTAGATATATGTCATGACACTGTCCTTTTATTTTTATATGGGAAATACACCCATATGAATAAAAATTAACTGTTTGTCATATATGAAGCAAGATGCAAAGTTGGGAGTCTGTTCACACTGTGAACATTACCTTGAACTGATGAGAATTGGAGTAGCGTAATACCTTGTGCCTAAGTAATTCTCACATCACTGAACCACAAATCTGATAGACCTCTGCAGTTATTGTAAGATTTAATAGCAGAGAACGATAAGAAAGCTTTGAATTACTAAACACTGATAACACTTCTTAAAGAACAAAATAAATGAATATTTCATAATATACAATCCCAGGATTAGCCTCTCTACCATGGGCTTTGTAGCTGAACACCTCTTGCCTCGTCATTCCCTTAATTCAACATTTTTATCTTGTGTTCAAAATATATATTTTACATTTATGTAGAAGGAAAGAAAGCCATGACTCTCATAACACTTCTATACAATCTGTATATAAAACTGGCTATACATCCATAGTTATGATGCCAGGAGAATCTCAGTGTTTGCTATGAATCACCCATTAGTCAAATCTCTCCACTCATCAGAGTCTGATTAGAAGCCAACTATCCCTGGGGCAGTTGTTTTTTGAAGAAAATGTTAAAGTTGGTCTTCTTGTTTACATCCGGATAGTATGAATCAAATGACATCCCTGTGATGAAAAAAAAAAAAACAAAAGAAAGAAAGAAAATAGTTTAAAGCCTCTCATGGAACTGGCTTTTGGTGATGACTGCCTTCAGTGATTCTCAATTAGAAAACATAGAGCAGGTAAAAATAATTCCAGTTCTTAATTAAAAGCAGGAAATGATGTCACTTTCCATAGTTAAAGGCAGCATGACCTAGCAGAAAGTATGTATTCTTTGGAGCCAGATAAAACCTCAGCTCTGCTGCATGGCACCTATGTCACTTTGGACAAGTGACAACTTTCCTGAGGCAGATGTTCACATCTGCAGGTGGACGTGTTAATTAGCTTGATTGTGGTTATCATTTTATAATGTATGCATATATCAAGACATCACATTGTGATCTTAAATATATGTAATTTTTATTTGTCAATTATACTTCAGTAAAAAATGGGCTAATAATAGCAACTAGGATGGTTTTGTATATAAGTATATACAGGAATATACAGCCTAGGATTATAATAGAACGTTGCAGGTGCTCCATAATTTATAACCCAAATGTCCACAGATTTCCTCTGCCATCAGTTACACATGTTGCTGACTCTCCCTCCCACCTGCATAGCAGCAGTGTCTCCCTCACACTTAAAGTCTTTCACACACAGTGTGACCCACATTGCACAAGAAACCAGTAAGCTCCTGTTCTTCTGTCTTCATGAAACTAATGGTTACATGTCTCTGAGGGAGGTGCCCTTCTCAACAGCCCTGTTCCAGGTGCCCTCTGGGAGGACTGTGCTCTGGCCCAAGTCCTGGGCAAAGGCCCCAGGGGGCCAGTGCTCTGCAATGGATAAGGGCAGAAAGGAGAACACGACTTTCTTCCTTTTTCTCCTGGACCTTGAAACAGCCAATGTGTGACCCTCCTGGAAACATACCTATCCACTTCCTTTGCTTCACTGTCAGGATAAACTTGACCTTGAAATTATGCCAGGAAATAAACCATTTTTGTTGGACATTCACCTGTCTTTCACCTCTGTCTCCAGTAATGTGCTAATGTTATCTCATCCTCCCAGGGAGCTTGTGAGGCTGACATATTTAACACCAATTTATAGATGAAGAGACTGGAACCTAGATAGATTCAGAATACCGTCCCAAATCTCTCTGCTTTCTACCTCCTTTAAATACCTGAGGTTTCACCAGCCTAGGATGTCCATTTCCTTTTTTTTTTTTTTTTTTTTTTTTTTTTGAGATGGAGTCTCGCTCTGTCACCCAGGCTGGAGTACAGTGGTGCGATCTCGGCTCACTACAACCTCCGTCTCCCGGGTTCAAGCAATTCTCCTGCCTCAGCCTCCAGAGTAGCTGGGATTTTAGGCACATGCCTCCACACCTGGCTAATTTTTGTATTTTTGGTAGAGATGGGGTTTCACCATGTTAGCCAGGCTGGTCTCAAACTCCTGATCTCAGGTAATCTGCCCACCTCTGTCTCCCAAAGTGCTGGGATTACCAGGGTGAGCCAACACGCCTGGCCAGGATGTCCATTTTCTATTAAATGAGCACCACATGTTCTGCAAAACATTAGCAATTATCATTATTACTTTTCTGCTCCAAGTCAAATTAGGCCAGAGTTTACACTCACTCGAGAATGATGAGTCTGAAGAGGTATCTAGAGTAGGAATTGAAATGTAAAAATCAGAGTAGTAGAGAGAGAGAATGGAGGCAAGGCTTTAAGAGATTAAGTAAAAGAGGTTTGGAAAAACAAAATCTTGATTATAAAAAGTAAAATAGAAAGGATGGATATGAAAGACTTTATGAATGAGTCATCATCTATTTTATTTATCTTCTTTTAAAAAATTCTTACATGGCACCACCTGCTTCTGTCACACTTCACACCCCCAGGCCCAAACTACCTTCTCTGAGCCCTTTCTTTAAAAAAATACAAAAAAGTAAAGTAATCTTCCAGATAAAAACTAAGACTTGTTCTTCCCCCTCTTTCCTTTACCCTTCATTTCCGTAACTTATCTTTCTCTGTGAAAGTACAGGTGGGAAATAATCAAGGAACTATTTGTGTGTGTGTGTGTGTGTGTGTGTGTGTGTGTGTGTGTATGTGTGTGTATGAGATTTTTATCATAGTCTACAAGAAATCTCTAGAGATTGCTTTCAAACTAAAACCAATTTCATACCCAATAGAAAACTTTAGTTTCATTGAAGGAAAAGCTAAATGGGAGCATTCAAAAGTGTCGTTCTAAAAAGAAGCCGGTTCTGAATACACTTGCCCAATTACTACCAAGAAATCTTCTCCTCCTTAAACCCAGAAATAAAAAGAGAAGTGCGCTATTGATAATGCTTCGTGTCATTTATGCAGGGCAAGTGAAAGGTATTCTGGTTATCAGTCATTTTCTTTGTCAAGCATAATTTTTCATGAGTTATATTTTAGCAAAATACTAAATTCAATGTCTATTATTATTATCATTATTATTATTATTATTGCAAACGTCTTCCAAGCAACATAGAAAGAACAAAGGTGGCATTAGTGGAAAATAAAAGGCAAATGCACGTTAACCTCAGCAATAGTTCACATGTGTTATCACCGATGCATCTTCTGCATCTTCTACCTCCTTTAATGCATCTTAAGTCATAATATTTTAGATCAAAATGTGCCAAATTAATTCAGCTCTAGTGCGTTGGGTTTTATGAACCTCCCAAATTACCTGTCTATTTGCTGCTGATGTCTGAAAGACAAGTGGAGGTGAGACCAACAAGAGATTTACATGTACCCTGATAGAAAGGGATAATGTTGCATCGTTCTGTTTTACTTCTTGTATATTTATTTCTTTTTAGCAGCTTGAAATGATCCATAGATCCGGAAACTGGTAGACATTGCAGGCTTTCCTCGTTATTGCCACTCACATATTGTCTTCTTCAAGGCCCATTCTCTCTTAACCAGAGCTCCCAACAGAGAGGACAGTGGAATAGACATGGAAACCTCTAAAAAGTTTAGGCACTATATTACTAGCACATCCCTCTCAGCTGCATATATAAAAATCTCAAATAGACTTAATTTCTTTATATTGATGTAATAGATCAAAATCTCAAATTAATATTTTGTTTCTGACTTTTTCATATTCAAATTCTTTAAAGAATATTAACTAAATATAGGACTGATTATTTGGTGATTATTTAGGTGTTACAAGTGAAAATGTGTATACTAATGTCTATGGATCTATCTCAAATGTTTCTTCAAGTTTTGTGTATTCTTTCTTCACATGCTAGTTTTGAACTTTACTTTGGTGCCTCTATCTGAAAACCAAGAGGAGGTGAGACACCTAAAAATATCCTCATTTGCATCTGTTTCCCTTCCTTCAGAGAAGGAGGGTTGGCCCACCCAGTTTTGCCTTGACAACCAGGAAATATCTAATGACATGGAATTAATTCACTGTTGATCCCTCATGCTACCATGTCAGGTCTTCCATTATTTGGCTCAAACTGATGCTGAATTGCAAGAGAGCAGGACAGGAGCCTGTCATTTTTACATTCCGGATGGTTGCCAGTAGACATGATTAATAAAAGTCACTTGATACAAATCAAAGAACTTGGTTAAGTGAATCAGATCCTCTTTACTTTGTCTTCTTACAGAAAACATGCTATAAGGTTCATACTTTTTAAAAGTCATGAAACAAAATATAACAAATTTACCCCATATTTATTAAATAGGGATCACTTCCTTCCTAAAAACATTTAAGTGCAGTTCTCCAGAATGAAAGAGATAAACATGTGTAGATGCAAATCAATTCTGTATTGGTTTCTTATTACCACATTAAAAAGAAAATCTGAAGATATAAGTTATGACTTAATTTTGATTTTGAATGCATACTGCTACCTAATGTACATAAAATAACCATCACAGAATGAAACTGATATATCCAACAGCTGGCTGCATTTAAATGATTTTAAAATAAGTGCTTATAAAAAGTCAATTTTTGGTGTTTTGCTGCTTAGGAATGAAACGAATCACAAATGTTTTTATTTGATTTTCTCTGACAGGACTGGGAATTCCCACATTTCATGGGAGATGTTGATGTAAATCTCCCTGGTTTGCACACCCCTCACATGCAGTTCAAGATTCCTTTCTTCCAGAAAATCTTCAAGGAGGAATATCGTATTCACATAACAGGTGTGTTATATCTTTGAACACAATTTGATTATCTTCGTACATTAGTTAGGGTAATGCTAGTTGCTGTAAAAAGCAAGCCATAATATTTGAGAGGCATAAATACAATGTTATTTCTCATTCACTTAACAGTGCAAGGTGGTTTTCAGATCAACAAGGGGCTCTGTACTATCATTCTGGGACCTAAGTTACTGGTGGCTTTGACAATTTCAGTGTTAGCATCCAGCAGGCAGATGGAAATACAGAGAATGGGGAAAGTGATTAAGAAGGCTTGTCTGTTCCGTAATCTCTTGGGCTTGGAAAAGAAATATGTCACCTTTCCTCATGTTCCATTGATGATAACTGGTACATAGCCCTACTTAGAGTCAGGGAGAGCAAGGAAATGTAGTCCTTAGCTGAGCAGCCACTTCTGGTGTCAGATCTGGTATTCTAGTATAGGATTATCAAAGAGGGAAGACAAATCTTTGCTGTGGAGAGTCATTTCTGCCATACTCCATATGCCACTCTACCTTGATCTTGTTCATTGGATGGGTTTTTCACCACATAGAACTCAGTATCTATTTTCAATGTTATATTCTTTATGCTCTTGTTCTTCATTTGTTGCTGAAATTAAAACAATGGTATCCTAGAGCCCCAATCAGAACATATGTCTTTAGGGAGTTAGGCCACTTCTCATTTGATTTTCTGAAAACCTACTTCTGTGGCAAAGCTCAGGTTTGTCTTAAGTGATTCTCTTGTGGATCTTCAGATTATTTTATTTTCAGATATTTTCTGCTTTTGAAATGGCTAAAATATGATTTATTGTAATATCCTTTCATGACATATCAGTCATTCTCATCTAAAAAGGGCTTCCCGGAGCTACGTTTTATATCTGTCTTTCTTTATGACAAGAAGCAGACAGCTGAATGATCACAGATAAAGGATGGCATTAGTTCCAAAGCTGTTCAAATGCAGGTAATGAGTGTGTGTCTGTTTTAAGGACAATGGCCTAGGATCCCACACCTGCTATAATAAAATCTGCTGAAGAAATCTGTGCTTACACTACCGTCTGTGCTGCCAAATAAAAATAGTCTGAGCCCAGAAAACATTAACATCTGAGTACTGCAATAAACCTTTGCTTCCCAGCTAGGAGGCTGTTTTTTGCTTTAAGCATGAGGCGACCTTCCTAAATTGGAGAATGAGCTCATGAATAGGGAAGATGCAGCAGGTTTCTTTTCCTATTCAAAATGAATGAGGCCCATCTATTAAATTCACTGGGTAAATCAATCAATTTGAGTTCAGGTCACATAGTCTGGTTTCAGAGTCCCCACTTAATCTCTGCAGCATGCTACCCTCTTGGACTTCTAAAACAGCTATCACACACATGGCATCATCATATCCCTTTGGGGGGGGCTTTTGCGTAGACCATCTGTTCTTGCTACCAGCTCTTGTCCCAGGCCATCATTACACTAATATTGTCTCTGACTATAAGAATGCCTTGTCAAAAATATCCTGCTTAAGTACAGAACTTCAGGTTAAAAAAGGAAAAAAAAATGGAGAGCCCATTGGTAAGAAAAAAAATGAGCTGCTAAAAATATTTAATTTAGGATTATTTTGTATAACTTTATCATTTACATTGTCATTTATAGATGGTACAGATTTCAGATTTGTGGTGTCCAGAGTTTACACAATGTGGAATACTCTGTTTAAGAAGATGAATATAAAATTACATCTCAAAATTATATTCAGTGCCTCGGAAGGGGGCTATGCATGCAGAGTCCCTAAAGCTTCAGTGTTATTAACTTTGAGGTAAAGCCTACTGTGCATTTAGATAGAAGCAGATACATGACTTCCATTTGAACTAAAACCCTCTTCCCACCAAGAATTATTTTCTGAAAACCTAAAAGGATGAAAGACTAGTTCAACTTTTATAGCAGAGACTACATATTAATCTGGTTTGCCCGAAGGTGGTAATGTATTGTAATTAAGGCTTTGGTGCAGTGTTTGCCATATGATGCTGATGGCCAAGTCATCAGGGAACTTTATAAATACACAGATTGTTGGGTTTCATTACTAATGTTTTGATCCAGTAGGTCTGGGTGAGGGCCAGAGAATCGAACTTTGGGAAAGCTCCCCCAAGTGATGTTGATAATTGGGGATGTCTCCTTTCTGATTGAGAGATGACAGATGAGATCAGAGCATCTCCCTGAAATGTGCCATGCAAACAATTGGGTGTCTGGACTTGCCAAAAAGGCTTTTGAGGATTCTGGAGCTTAAATTCAAAATATTAATAAAATAAGGGGCTGAACGTGGTGGCTCACACCTATAGTCCTGGCACTTTGGGAGGCCAAGGCAGGAGGGTCACTTGAACTCAGGGGTTTGAGACACCCTGGGCAACATAGGGAAACTCATCTCTAAAAAAAAATAGAAAGAAAGGAAGAAAGAGGAGGGAGGGAAGAAAGGAAGGAGGGAGGGAAGGAAGGAAGAAAGGAAGGAAGGAAGGAAGGAAGTTTGGCATGATGGCACACACCTGTGGTCCTAGCCACTTGGGAGGCTGAGGTGGGAGGATTTCTTGAGCCCAGGAGGTCAAGGCTGCAGTGAGCCATGATGGCACCACTGCACTCCAGCCTGGGCAACAGAGCCAGATCCTGTCTCAAAAAATAAGCTAAAATAGGGTAGGTGAGGACTTTGGAGTGAAGGGTTCCACCATAAACAAATTAAATCCAATTTGTGATAAACCCAGTTTGTTCACATGCATCCACATAGCCATGATAAAAATAACTGGGAAAATGGCACAGGTTTGGAGGTTGAAGCAGTCTGAGCTTTTCTCTCTTGCTTTTGTTCTGTTTCTTTTACTCTCTCTGTTTTGTTAATTGGCTGAAGAGATTGCTGAGGCCACCCCAGAGTAGCATCTAGTCTTCTGTGAAGGGCTTTTTACTTTACCTGACTACATTTGTAAGACAATTGTTTCTGTGGAAAACTAGGTAAAATTTCCAAAATACTGTGCTACATGCTGCATTTCAATATTCTCAATAGTTAGCAGCCTACAAATTTCCATGTGAACTACAAATTCTAGCTTGCTGATCAGCTCCTCCGAGCCCTGGTACTTTTTTTATGGAGACTTCAGTGCTTTTCTTGATAACTAAATACAGTGTCACCACTGGGGTTATTAAGCATAAAACCCTCTAGATCCGTCAGGGGATGACAAACGTTAATGTGTATTGGAATCACCTGGAGAACTTATTTAAAAGACAGCTGCATTAGCCACACCTCCAGAATCTGATGCCTGAGGTATGCAGCAGACTTGGAATCCACCCTTCTGTCAAGCATGGCAAGTGATACGTCTGCTGGCTGGCAGAGGACTGCTCTTTGAGACATGCTGCTGCTGAGAGACATTTTCTATAGTTAGAATTCCTCTTATCTCAGCTTTAATTTGTTTTCATATGCAACTGTTAAAATCAAAAGCCAAGGGGTAGAATGCAAATTCAATAGCAGTGGGATGACCAGGGAGAAAGGCACATGGTAGAATCCTCCTAGGAGCTGAAATTTTAGAGCTGGGGCCAGCAGAGGAGACTATGATTGGGGAAAGGTGCTGGTCTGAGTGACCACAGAGGAAGCTGGAGCCAGGGATGGGAAGGGAACCTGTAGAACCCCAGACGGCTCCCTCTTTTGCTTTATCTGCTTTGTTTGTTCTGCACTAGAAGAGCCTGGACAAGGACTGTGAAAGGTCTCCTGAGTCAAAAGTTGACTCCACTTGGCCCCAATCTACCATGTCCCTATGATTTAGAAAAGACATCCAGCATACACTGAAGCAATGGAGCAAAGAGGTTGGATACATGGGCTCTAGCTTTGCTACTTACTGGTGGTCTGGTCCTCATCGAGTTCCTTAGCCCTTCAGAGACTCAGTTTCTCGTCTATTTAATGGGCACAGTAATAATACTTATCCCATAGGGTTGTTGTGAGAATTAAATTAATATATGTAAGGCACTTATGACGCTGCCTGCCATGTAGTAAGCATTCAGTAAGCTTTCACTGTTTTTTTACTTAAAGCTTTTCCTTTCATCTGGCCAGAGATTGTCTTTCCTATTTAATTCAGAAATGTTGGGTAGCTTGAGAGGGTGCCCTCTTGCCACTTACCCACTATTCTGAGTTTTCTACTGTTATCTGCTGTCCTGAGTCCTTAAAAAGGAGAAAGCTAAGAATGCAAAATTCTCTCTCCCAATGAAATATTCTGTATGTAGAGGGTTATGACACTGATGAGTTCCCACTGACATTTTAAAAGCATATAGGATTTGAGTATTTTTTTAATCCTGATTCCAAGCTAGTTTTATTTATGCATGTCAGAAATAACTTGAATTGTTGCATCTGTTTAGCTCATCTGGATCCCCCTTGACAGATGGCTTGCTGCAGTATGTATGAGCTTTCATTTTATAAGCTGGGCTACAGCTTATAAAAATAAATCATTTCTATCCAAGAGTGTTTTAAAATATATTTTTTCTTAGAATATGGGCTTCAGTAACAAAGGGAATAAATGGTTAGTGATTAAGTCACACTGGTACTTTTAGCCCAAGTTCATTGTTCTCCTCCTAAAAGTAAACCCTAAAAGCAACTGTATAATGATCTTCTCTGCCCTCTTCCCCTTTACCTGTAAGGTAAGTGCATAGATGGATTGAAAATGCGATGTACTAAATCTCTGGAGGTGAGAGAGGAATGGCCTCTCAATTCAGTCTCGGAAGCTCCTCTGAGTCCTATTAATGCCAATCCCGGTGGAAGCTCTGCCATCTGTCATCGCAGCCAAAGGAAGTGTCCCATTGGTGGCCATCATCTGAGTAAATTAGGAGGGGGTTGGGCAAAAGGCCAGAAGGAAGGCCTGTGCAGCCTTGAGAAAAGAATTCACACTGTTGGCACGATGATGCCCACGGGAACCCTTTTGGCAAAAATGGAACATGTAGAAGTAAACAAGCCTGTATAGTGTCTGTTCTATTTCAGTTTCCTGTGTTGTGTGAGGGTACAGGTGTTTTACAATGGTGAGAATGTGGAAAATAATGAGTAAAAATGAAGGATTTTATTTTCATAGGTGCATGATTTCTAGCAAATGAGTTCCCAGAGACTGTTTTTTTTTAAAGAGCTCTCCTGTATGAATCAGGCCATGAGAAGGCTGGGGAGGGGACAGCCAGTGGTTCCTCCAGCAGAATGTTCTGTCTGGCAAAATTAGCAAGGGACTCGTTATAAGGAAATGTGTTGCATCCTGTATACAAAGAAAGTCCCCGAAGATCATGAATTTATCCAAAGTACACAAAGACCTCTTGCTCCTCTCTCAGTTGTGAATTTTTCCAAACCTTTCCTCAAGCAATTTTCATTTTCAGCTCTTAAGAGTTAACTATGTTTACTTCTATATAAAGCAGCAATTCCTTTTATTTGTCCAAAACTCATCTTCTTCAGGGCCATCATTTTGCCCATGGCCTGTCAGTTCTTGCTGGCCCTGAGTTTCTGCCCTGCCCACCCTGAGGTATCCTGTCTTCATTTGTACATACATGAGCACCTTTGTAATAAAACTTACATGCCCTTTAGGAATTGACTTCAGAGCCAGAGGAAGGACTCGAAATATATAATTATTCATAATCCTTGAAACATGAACATTTTGCTTTTCACAGTTTTTCAGATTATGTCCAATTTTAGCTATGTCGTGGAATTCATCAGATAATTATGATACATGCATTTTATTTGAAATGCTAAAACTTCTCTTTTCGTATTTTTCTGGGCACATTGTCTCAGAGTTTACAAGTTGGTTAACAGATATTTTTCTGAGTTAATATGTGTCAAAAACTAGTTGGTATCTGGAGAACACAGAAATGAACACGACACAGTTCCCAATCTCAAGAAAGTCATAGTTTAATGGTCATCTAATTCAGTATAACCACTTTTCTTCTTTCTATGCTTATGATCACATGTTCCTACCTGTACTCGTCACATTGGATTGCTTCCTAAGAAATAGTCTCCCACTTAGGAAGTAACAATGACAAGAGAGGCACTTTGAGAAGTTGTATCAGTTTGTTTTTAAGTCTTAAGAAGGTACTTTGATAACTCAAATAATTATGACTACTTCATAAATTAATAAGTAAATATTTTCAGTTTACGAAATGGCCTCCTCATGACCCAAGCACTTAATGTGGTTTCTAGATATCCCTAAATTGCCTAGGGAGAGACATGAAGAGATGCTAACTCGTGAGCCCTGTTTTTACTGCTCACATCTGGAATGAGGGGAGATTAGGATGGATGGCCAAGAAGACTGATACAGCAAATTGCATATTTCTTTTACTTATCCAAAATTCATCTTCTTCAAGGCCATGGTTTTGTGCTGTCCCATGATGGTTGCTGAATGACTTTGGGGAGCGTAACCACATCCATACACCTGCACTAGATGTCAAAGTCTGGCCAAGTAATCGCACCCATGTGGTAGAGAGGGGCCCACAGCACAGCTCATCCACAGTGCTAACTGGCACCTCTGCAGAGTAAAAGATTAAAAATATTATATTTGCATATTTCAGTCATGAAAAGTTCATTATATGGTGGAATTATCAGTACCTTATAGTCTTTTTCCTTAGTTGAAAAAAATAACACTTTCCCTCAAATTGTTGTCATTTGCTATTTGAGGGTGATATTTAATGAAGAATCCTTTTAAAATGATCTATCCTCAGATTCTGTAAACTCCCACAAAGTAAAAAGATAAAATTTTCATTATAATATCATCTCTGACAACCAGTAGGATTCATTAAAAGCCCAAAAACCAAAAAAGAGGTAATCCCACCAACACCACGCAGTGATTTCTCATTAGAGGAGATAGTGAAGTATTTCAACAAGGAGATTAATAGAAAGAATGTATGGATTCTTACCCTACCTCCTTGCTGATTTACATTGTGCTAGGTAGTTGAAACAACAGGGGAAAATGCAAAAGCTCTCATATGATTAATGCTGAAATACCAACCCTCTGGTTACTGTCGATTGTATATTCACAACAACACACTTGGGAAAATGGCTATAGAAGCACTTTCTATTCTGTTCTTTTTTGTCTTAAATCCTTTCTATCTGGGTCATTTCAGGGACTCAAATTTATTTTTTATGGTAAACACTGTTTCTCAGAAGATACAATTTTTTTTCAGAAAACCTTTCTCCTTCTAAAATTGTATATTCCATCTTCTTTGCTCTAATGTTGAGATTTTCTGGCCCAGCATAAAACACTAAGATTTAGGCAATGTTTATTTCACAGACTCATCAAAGAAACTTTTAGGGCTGGGAAGAAATCTTAAGGATTATCTAGCTCAACTCCCTCACTTTATAGACAAGAACACAGGGGTTGGGTTGCCCTGCCTGACTTCACCTTCTGCTTTGCCACATCTGATAGGGCAAAAGGAATTTTTTAAGGAGGAGAAAGCATTACCAAGGTAACGACACAGTGTGTGGGAAAAATGGAAAGATGGATGACAGAGAAAGATGAACATCCTTCCTCTGTAAACAGATAAATGAACTAGAGGTCATGTCAGATGGGCAGAAACAAACAAACAAAAATAATAAAAAGGGCCATTTTTTCTACCATTTTAGCAGCTTCAAGTTTCAGCTGAGTGAGAGAAGGACACTGCTGCATGCGCAGGAGGGAGAAGAAGGGAAATGTGATATGAATAGGCAGCCTGGCTCACTGCATCCCTTCCCCTCTGCACTTCCCCACCCCCACATGGCCTCTCTTCTGTGGGGGAGAGGTAGGGACACGATCCCCTGTTTTTTAGTCTCAAAATTCATAGATATAAAAGGTCTTTCCTCAGGGCCAATACTACTGCAAGCAGTAGACAAACTACTAATTGCTAAGGATTTTTAACATGTTAAATATGCTGATTTAGAAAGCATATTTACATAGAGCCACACACTGAGTCCTCTTGGATAACTGGTCCCATGTCATCTTCCTATTATTGTTGGTATTTAGTAATGCATACTGTTTTATTCCAACAGAAAAATTAGATAATGTAATCACTTTTAGGATATATCTTTGTTACAATCCTTATGTGTCCTTCTCTCCCTCTATTCCGTCACCAAGATCCTATATTGTCTGGATTGAAGAAGTAGAGAAATAAATTGGAGAAATAATACCACCCTACATTTTTGGCAAACAATATATTTCAGAGAATGTTCTAACACAACATCTCATTTTATCCTCACAAATAATCCTTTGAGGTAGTTACACTGGTATTATTCTCCATTTCACAGAATAAAAAATTGGATTCTATACACGACCAATAAGTAGACAGATTTGGGGTAGAAGGGCAGAATTATGGAACTGGAAGGCATCTAGTTCAGTTTTCTCAATTTGAAAATAGAATAACCGTGGTCTAGAGAGGTTAAACAGGTTACCCAAGGTCATATGCTTTAAGTTCAGTGTTGGGATGAGATGCCCATCTGCTCATTTCCAGCCTGCAGCTTTGTTGCCATGGTGCTCCCTTTTACAAACCAGTAAAGATGTGTTGGAGTAGGTGATGATATCCGTTAACTGATGTTAGGCCATACAGTTTTAATTTGCTCCTTCTCCACCCCATCTAAATGTTCAGACATCAGGACACATGAGAAATAATAAAAAGTGATCCTTGGGTGTGCAAGTTTAGTGGTCAAACTGACCCAGCACTATTCACTTGGTAGAAAAATAATTAAATAGTGCTGGAAAAGTTCTTTGGGAGAAAGAAACCTTTGGGAGTCAAGAAAGTAGTGGGAGCCAGGTATGGTGACTTGAGCTTGTAGTTCTAGCTACTTGGGAGGCTGAGGCAGGAGGATTGTTTTGTCTAGGAGTTCAAGGCTGCAGTGAGCTATAATTGCACCACTGTGCTCCAGCCTTGCAACAGAGTGAGACACTGTCTCAAAAGGAAAATAAAAATTTTATAAGGAGACGGTGATCAGTCATACAAGCACAAGGACCTCTTCCCCCACCATCTGGTCTGGCTTTGTAACATGTACAGTTTACAGCAAGAGAATAAATATAAAGCTCCGACAACAGAGGAGAACCCAAAGCCCCTCCTTCAACTTGCTTTCTGTCATGGAATCTACAGATTAGTGTCTCCTTAATACTGGATAAGAATCTCTGAACTTTTTCATTTCTCCTGTTTCTCATCCCTTTCCTGCCTTTTTCTACAATAATCTCCATTCTTTTCCTTTTCTCTCCCCTCAGCCTCTTTCTTCCATGTTATCTCATCTTTTATATATGCTGTTCTATCTACAACATACTGAAAGCATAAACGAAAATAAACACAAAATTTTCCAAACTATTTTCTGTCCTGCTTGTTCTTCAAGGACCACATGAATTGTTCCGTCCTCAAAATCTTTCCTGCAGAAAGTATCCTTCAGTTTTTTTCCATTTCCTCAATATTTACAGCATTTATGGTTTGTATCACTCATTTGGCACCTCCAGATGTAGCCTCTCACTATTTATCTGTTGATCTCTGTCCTGTTCCCCTAACAAGATGATGAAATCCTTTCTGAAAGGCAGAGACATATGTTTTCAGCATCTACCAGTGTGTTCTACACGGAGTCTGTTATGGTTGATCTTTAATATGAACCTGGTTTAGTTTTGAAGATCTCATGAGTGGTTTGAACTTAACAGCACCAGACGCTATAGATATTTTATCATATCTGAGACAACATTCCCAATGTTCAAAATTACTTTCCAGTTGGGTATGCCCAAAAAAATCATTCAGGCAAGAGTTTTCATTTCAAATATTATAAACTCTATATAGCTGAACAATGTCAGGACAAGCAGTTACTATTCCCCTTCATATAGTTTAGGTAAGCTCTCTTCATAGAGGAGCAAGTTGCACCTTCTCATGCAAATAAAAAAATTATCATGGTTTAGGCAAGGCTTTCGTGATGATAATTATAGCAATTACTGGGCCCCTATTATGTACCAGGCACTGTCCTTAGCATCTAGTAATCGCATGAAATTCTGACAACTTTAATAAATACTATTATTTTCTGCATGTAAAGAAACTGGGCTTTGGAGTGTTTAACAACTGGCTCAAGATCACACAGCTAGTAATTTTGGAGCCAGGATTAAAAGTATTTAGCCTTACATATAATAGGAGCTTTAATAAAATATGTAATTATGATGATAAAATATTTTCCTAAACTCCTCGCAGTTATGTCTTTTATATTTTTATGTAGCTAGATATTTTGTTAGACTGTATATTGCCAAATACATAATCATATGAAGCAGTAACAATAACGTTAAATAATGTTACTTCAAATACAAAAGAAAAAAGTTTTGGCATAATACATAAAATTATTATAACTAAAGCTTCTGGAACCTGGTACATACGTCCCCTAACTTGCTACAGCAAACCTATGAGGTAGGTATTACTGTATTATTATAATATACATGATACTTGCAATAATTTATAATAAAAAATTATAATAGAATCTAGTATCACTCGAAAGTTTTTTCACCTTTTGTCCATTTGTAGAAATCATAATAAAAATTATAATGGACTCTAGTATACCTGAAAAGTTTTCTAGTATACCTGAAAAGTTTTTCCACATTCTTTCCATTTGCAAATGTAAAAATATCATTTGATAAAAGATCATTAAATATTGTATTTATATAAGATTTTAAATATTAAAAAAAGAAATAATAGTTGCAATCTCTTCAAATATATCTTTTCAAGCAGTTCATAAGGTATGGTTACATTTATGTCTGATAAATGCATTTTGTTCAATGAGAATTTGATGTAATTATTTTTAAAGTCTTGAATGCTCAAGGATTATTGATCTGAATCACATCAACTAATGGTTTAATCAACAGGTCACCTACAAACAGCAATATGAATTAATTTGATATACTGCTGTGCTTGCATTGCAAAATGATTTATTTCTTGCCCAGACATAATTATAAAACTGTAAGAGATGTTCAATCATACATTGAACTTTTCTAAGAATTTCATTAGACTTTGTTTTTTCACATTAATTGAAATGTTCTAGAGGATAACCTACATGGAACCAAATTTGAGTATAGCTGTGGTGCCTATAAAACAAGGAGACTTAATCTTGTTAGTATAAATGCCATAAATTACTGGCTCAGGGACCTACAGTTGTGTTTTCATATGCCCAGAATCCATTTAGTAAATTCCCTTTGCCAATTCACTTAATGGCAGCACAGCACTCTCAAAATATTAATTGTTAACCAGTCTGAAACATTAACAATTGATGTTATTATACCATTATCCTCATTTTATTGTAGAAAACCTTATTGCAATTTTATGGCCCTTTGATTAATGCAGTATTTCTTTTTTAATGCAGGCAAATGGTTTAACTATGGAATTATCTTCCTCGTCTTGATTTTGGATCTTAATATGTGGAAGAACCAAATATTTTATAAACCTCATGAATATGGGCAATATATCGGCCCGGGGCAGAAGATATATACAGTGAAAGACTCAGAAAGTTTAAAAGATTTGAACAGAACCAAGCTATCCTGGGAATGGAGGTCCAATCACACTAACCCTCGGACTAATAAAACATATGTTGAGGGAGACATGTTCTTACACAGCAGGTTCATAGGAGCCAGTCTTGATGTCAAGTGTCTGGCCTTTGTTCCAAGCCTGATAGCCTTTGTGTGGTTTGGATTCTTTATTTGGTTCTTTGGACGATTTTTGAAAAATGAGCCACGCATGGAGAATCAAGACAAAACTTACACTCGCATGAAAAGAAAATCTCCATCAGAACATAGCAAAGACATGGGAATCACTCGAGAAAACACCCAGGCTTCAGTAGAAGACCCCTTGAATGACCCTTCTTTGGTTTGCATCAGGTCTGACTTCAATGAGATCGTCTACAAGTCTTCCCACCTAACCTCGGAAAACTTGAGCTCACAGTTGAACGAATCTACTAGTGCAACAGAAGCTGATCAAGACCCAACGACTTCTAAAAGTACACCTACGAACTAGACTCGGAGATAGACTTGGAGATAACACAAAAAGCAACCTTGAGTGTAACTTTAAAAATTTAGTCTTTCCTTTTGTATATGTAAGGTTTACGTAGTGTTAGGTAAAAATATGAACAATGCCACAACGGTGCTCAACATGCTTTTTCTAGGATTCATTGTTTTCTATTTGTATTATAATACACGTGCCTACTGTATACTCAACAGTCCTCTAGAGATTGCTTTTCACAATTGCACAAGCTATTACTGACTTTACAGCATAGTGGAAGATTAGCTGATGACCCATGTATCTGATGTTCAACCATAGTGGTGCCTTGAGACATTAAACTGTTTTTAACTGTACCAGAAATGAAGTGTGGAACAGTTACCTAACCTATTTCACATGGGCGTTTTGTATACAACTATTTTGATCTACACTTGATGTCTGAGCAGAAAACAGAAATAGCTAAATGTGACTCAGGAAGTATCTCTTGGTTTCTTATTCAGCAGCAGAGTTGGTGACTTTGACAACTGGACTGCAGAGAAACATGGTGATCACCTTTTAATTTTTATTGGCTGTCTGCCAAATATAAATACAGATGCAAAATTCAGTAATAGGAGATCCATAACCCAACATGGGTCACTACTCGTGAAATGTGACTTTCTCCCACCAGTAATTGAAATGAGGTGATGATACCTAATTATGTTTTCCTAATTAAAGATAAATTGCTACTTGATTAAAAATCCTGCCCTTCACCTTTGGGAACAAAGGTTAAGAGACACAGTTGGGCGAACTCTCAAATTTATTGGCATTTACACAAAGTCCCAGACAACCAAGGAACTGAAGTTTTCATCATATGAGAGCAGCACATCCCACCATTTACAATATTCGTATATCTTTCTGCAAATATGGCTCTGGATAGTGAAAATTGAAAAACATATGCCAACCCTGAGCAAGGGAACTCCTCAAAAAATCATGCAGCGGAACCTTGTCAGGTAGAGAAGCCGTGCATGAAAGAATTTGTTTAATGTCTTGTTTTGCGTATGTGTTTTTTGTTTTTGTTTTTTAAGAACTAAATATTGCACATTAATAAATAAGAATTATACAGCAGTGATTATGTGATGTAGTTTTTTGTTTAATTGTATCTTGGCTTAAGAAAAGTCCATTTACATGGGGTTTTTATAGCTTGATGCCAGGCAAGTTAAGAGAAGGCACACTGCCAACTTGCTTTCAATTTTGTTCCATAAATTGTGGTTACGTTTCTTGAGGGGGTGAGGGAGATCACTTTTAAGGAAAAATTATTTTCCTGTCACACACTGACATAGCTGCATTTTTTCTTTATGATTTTTTAAATCTCTCTTGTTTTGATCTATCTACTTTTAAGCTTGCAGCATACTGAATTTAGCATGCATAATAGAACTATGCATTTATCTGTCACTTGAGAGCCAGCTTTAATAAACATCTTTACTAAGCATTTGGAACCATGCCCCTGCTGTTACTTTTACCTTTAATAGCCATGCATGGTGCTACTTAGAATCATAAACATATCTGACACACACACACACACACACACACACACACACAAATGCAGAGATCAAGCTCACTATAGTAACCCATTGCCCATACTATCTAAAGGAACTTACCATGTATGTCTGATAGGTGGCAACACTAGCTATTACTAAATTTTGGCAGCCTAGAACATTCAACTTTTAGCTCTGGGACATGTAAATAATAACACCTAGTACCACATTTTTATTTATTCTGAAAGTCATTGTCTTATAGAATGACGAAAGAAGTTGATTTAGAAAGTAGACGTTTATTATCAATATGCATGACTTATAAAAATATTATTTGAGAATTTTTACATGGGTATTAATGGAAAATGTTTTAATGAGAAAATCTAATTAGCAGAAGTAAGACAGAAAAAAAATAACAAACTTAGAACAACATGTTTATGTGTTTCTAGGGATTAGCTAGAAAAACTATTAAAAAAATGAAAATATATATTTAAATTTTCATAAATTTAGTAACAAATGGAACAATTTCCAAGGACATTTTAATAGTCAAACAAGACTTCAGCCTTCTAAGGCTTCCAACTGTTGAATTGTATATACTGATAGTGACCTTTTCTTACCTACATATGGATCTACTTTCTTCTTTTGCTGCCTCTTTTGGGTATTGCATTTATACCAAGTAAAGATACTAAAATGAAATAAACTAAAAATTAAATCCATTCACATTCAGTCTTGAATCCTGAGTCATACCAATAGACTGAGACTCTACAGAGATTTTTGAATACCAAAACTTTTAAACTATTAAGGACATTTTAAAAAGAGATGTGTAGCAATCTCAGAAATTGAGGTTAAAAAAAAGGATTTAAAAAATTACTAAGCACAGATTCTAAAGAAAGCTTAACAAATGTGATGTCTTAATTGCAGTGATGCTTAAGTACTATAAACAATTATATTTCTACTGTTCAGTAATTACAGTACTTTCTTCCACATAGTGCAGAATTTGAACTAATTTGACATAATTTTAGTATCCTACATTTATAAAGTACTTCATTAGTAGTTGAAATGGAAAATTAAATAAACACTATGAATTTGTGCCTGATAATATACACTTAGACATAAATCTCATCACCACATGTCTATTTGTATTGTATAATCATAATTAGTTACCCTATTTTCTCCCCATGGTAGCTACTTATGTTACCTTATCTTTTAGCATAGCTGAGATCACCAGCAAATTCTGTTTAAAATGTTAAGAATTATTTCTTCTCCATCTGCCCTAAGAGTCAACCAGGTACAAATTTTTTTTATTTTTGTAGTATCAGATTTCACACAAGTAATGTCCAAAAACACTGCACCACTGGCTGACAGTACAGTGGAAAGAAGTCCAACACAGGCATTCAGATTTGAAGGAGGGAGTCAATACATGGTAGCTCACCACTGGGCTCCATAAGCAATTTTATCACATTATTTGGCTTCCCCATGGGTCACCAACACAGCCCAATATGAAATATGAGAAAGACAATGCTAATAAATCCTAAATGTCTCTATAACTGATAATTCAGGAGGCCAACTGGATTATCTGACATTCAGCTAAGACCTCAGTACCCTGCCATTGTTTCTCATCTGCCTTCACTCTGAACTAACCCTTATTTTAAATTTCAACTCATGCTTAGGCAGCTACAAGTAGGGTATTATGCTTATATTGGTTTTTCCCTCTGAGACTGACTTGGCTCACTACTCTATCTGGCCTGATTTCTTCGAGCTTTGTCCCTCAGAACCCAACTCTGACCTATTAGCCAGCCCGTACCCTTGAGACAGCAAGAGCAACTCAATTAATTCTGCAGCAGATAAACTGGCACTTTCCTCATTTATCCCCATTTAGACGTTTAAACATGTTTGTGTGCATAGAGTTGTAATTAGTGAGTATAAATATAGGTAACAGAGTCAAGCTCAGAAACGTTTGGGTTGCTTCCATTTAGACTGGCCTAGAACTGTCTTATTTGAACAACTAGGGAAGTTTAGATGTAGTATTTATAACTCACAAGTCACTCTTGTTGAAGAAACTAGAAAAAGAGGTGGATATTTATAATGAAAAGAGAAGGTTAGGCAGATGGTGGAGAACAAGTGGAGGTTTCAGCAATGAAATCTTAGAAATAAAAACAGCAGTTTTACTTTAAACAGGCTTTAAAACTGCAGGGAGAGAATAGCCTCTATGAAAGGAACTTTACCATAAAATTCTCATTAGGCTAGTACTCTTATGTGTTGTGTAGAGGACTCAAAAGTTATGTTCAACATAGCTGACTGAGGGTATTACATAAAAGGCTGGTTGGTTGGTTAGTTGTTTTGCTGGTTAGCTGGCTTTTTTTTATTATTATTATACTTTAAGTTTTAGGGTACATGTGCACAATGTGCAGGTTAGTTACATATGTATACATGTGCCATGTTGGTGTGCTGCACCCATTAACTCGTCATTTAACATTAGGCATATCTCCTAATGCTATCCCTCCCCCCTCCCCCCACCCCACGACAGGCCCCGGGGTGTGATGTTCCCCTTCCTGTGTCCATGTGTTCTCATTGTTCAGTTCCCACCTATGAGTGAGAACATGCGGCTTCTTAAACATTCTAGCATTGAAATTACTCTAAGTCTACCCCAGGGAGCATGATGAGACCTGGGAGGGGAGAAGTGTTACTGTGAAAGAAACTACAGTAGGCAACATGAGAAGAGAAAGAAAAATCACATCAATTTAGAGAGACTGGAACATCCTTGATGGAAGAACAAACATCAGGGCAAATTTGGCTTGTAAGCATATTATCAGCATATAAAAGCTGATATCCTGTAAATGAAAATATCTTCCAGGTACTTTCTCCTAGAGAGAGATTCTGAAAAAATTTAATGAGAAACAAAATTGGAAAGTATTACTAATTTAATATGTATAAAATACTACTGATAATATTTTAATTTAGTGTGAGGTATCAATTATTTTACTTTAGTGAATATAAAACATATATTTCACAGGTTTATATATCTACCTCCAACATAAGCTCTCCTAAGGTCTAAATTCCTTAATACCAACTGTACTATTGGGCTTTTTAAGGACTTACATAACTGAGAAAGACCACGATAATTTATAATTGAGAATCACAGTAACAAAACAAATTTATAGATACTCCTTGCTCTAATAAACTTTTTCACCCTATCCAGATCTTTGCTTAATTCTCATATTAATGATACCACCATTTTGAATATTTTCTATGTGAAAATAAATATTCCATTCAATACTCACATTAACCTTAACAATTGAAGGTAAGTAGGGTTAATTTCACTATACAGATGGTGAACCTCAGGCTTAGAGAGGTTTTTTTGACTTGCCCGAGGACTGAAAGCTAGCCAAATGCAAAGTCAAGATTGGAATTCAGTCTTGTCTGACTCCAGTTTTCCATCACAAACATCTATAAACACCCATCAAAACCAGAGTATCTGTATCAAATGGGATCTTTGGTAAGGATAACCTGGGAAATGGTTGTAAAGCCATAAATATGCTTAACTTCTAGCAATTCTTACCGCTCAAGAATCTAAGTCAAATATTAATTTTTAATAACTGCCTGGATGTAATTTACAATTTAAAGCATATGATTGAAACAGATAAGGTCAAATTAAATGGCAAAAGCAGTCAGTTCATTGCCCCGTGTTTTGATTTAAGCTACATTTTTAAAACCACAACACAGATTTGTCTCAATACAATTCCTAGCACTGGAATTTGTTTCTTTTGTCATTTCACTTTCTTTGGGGAAGGGAGACTGGAGCTCTGCATGTTTTGAACACATCCCCAGGAGAATGTTAGAGGAAGAACTGGTAGTTATGAATATTAAAACAAGGGAAAAAAAGATTAGCTAATGGCCAGTTCTAGGAAGCATAATTTGAATATGGGCTCTAGAGACAACCATATTTTGAAAACCATATTTTGAAATGATGACTCCAAATTTATTATTTTTAAGAATCCTTATCCAGGTATCAAGACTGGCCATGAAGATGTTTCCCTTGACGTGATGAGCCCTATTCTCATCCCTGGAATGGAAATTCTTCACAGGGTTTCGAAGAGGACCAAAGAAGACTGTATATATGTGAAAGCATGCAGGTAGCTGCAACAAGTCATGCAGATGTGAGGTGAATATGACAGGCATGGGCTCCAGTCCCCTCTAGTGCCCAGCTTTCAACAGAACCCCCTTGGCTTCTTCCAAGTTGATGCTGCCATTAAACATGGTTAGGCCATTTGCTCCCAATTTTCTGTCCCTGTTGGTTGCTTTGAACTCTACAAGCTGCAATGTAATCCCTTTTCACTTGTAACAGAAGTTCAGATCCCTTAGTTTAAAGCAAGCAGCTATATTGTGTGAAATCAATGGTCATAATCCCTTGGAGCTGCTGGGCCAAACTTATTCCTCAAGGTTTCCTAGGCTCTAGAGTTCTAAATTATTTCCTTCTTTTTATGATTTCTTTACTAGCTTCTCTTATCAGGACACTCTCATCTTGCCAGTAATCCACCACCTTTCATAAATCCTGAAGTGAAAGTGCTTGTGTCTTCAGCATTTAAAGAAAGCTGACACATGCACCTGAGCCCCTGCACTTTAGGATCTTCCAGCTGTATTTGGATGAAGTTGAGGTAGCCACTTCTGAATTGGGATGTCACTCTAGCCTTGCCTTTTAGAAAGCTCACCTTGGCAGCCTGTGGAATCAGGGCAACACTTCAGCCAAGCCACAGTGCTTTGTAGAATAAAATTTTAAAACAGTGTCAGGGTTTTCCATTCACCATATAGACTTATTTGCTTTGAATACATCATTTTATCTGGATAGCAGTTGACTTCAACCAAACCACACTAGAAAATATCTGCATTTAAAAACAGTTACTCTTGACTGAAACAAAATGTGTAAGATGAGACGAAGAGCAATGGCCATATCAGGAAAGATAACTCTAACAATTACTCTTCAAGCTTGATAACCATGAAATTACTATAAAATTATCTTTGAACAAATTATAATGTTTTTGCATTTGAAGCACAACATGTTGAACTTCAAATACACTAGAAAACTCAGAGGCTCTGTCATTTACATATCCAAATGGTCTCCAAAATGAATAGATTTTATTTACTTCTGTCTCCTATAATTGGTCCACTATCCTATTCCCCATCATTATCACTACTGCCATGCTGCAATCTCATATTCTATTCCAAAGATGACTGCAATTAATCTTAATTGGTCTTCCTGGCTCTCACCTTTTCCAGTGCTATCTATTCTCCACACTTGTACCAGAATAATATTTCTGAAGTGTAAATCCGATTGTAACACTTCACACTTTCAGTGGCCAGTTATTGCCCAGCAGTGGTTTTCAAAAGTATTGTGTACAAGTCCAAAATCCCACTGGCTTAACACAATAAAAATCAATTCCTTGCTCATATGGCCACTGAACTGGGTGTTCACTGGGTAGCCTTACATACAATGACTCAGGGACTCAGACATGTTTCAGCAAGAGGTTCTTTGACTTTCTAGGGTCTTACAGTCTTCAGCATATTCAGCAGGCTGGTGATGAAGGAGAGCAGGTGAGGAAGATGCTGTAAGAATTTTCAGGAATAGACTTGGAAGTGGCATATATCACTTCTTGCATTCCATTGGCCAGAACTCAGTTACAGCCTGTGCCTAACTGCAAGGAATGCTAGGAAATGCTGTTCAGCTCTATGCCCACAAAGGACATGGAACAAGTTTCAGGAGTTTCTGGTCAGAAGAGCATTTGCAAAATATGCCCAGCCATGCCTCACACTTGGAAGTACATTCAGTGGGTTTGGGATGGAGCTAGAGCTGAGCTGAGTTTTTAAAGTTCCATAGGTGATTCTCTTACAAACATCAATTTGAGAACCACTAATAAAATGCATATTACTGCCTGGCACTCAAGACTGTATGCCAGCTTCTCTGGTTTTCTCTCCCCTGTCCAGTGACTTCTAACCCTGCAGCCATGTTGAACTACTGACAGCTCTCCATTGCATCACTTGTACCACTCAACTCTGCTTTTGCTCAGTGTCTTCTGTTTGGAATCCGCTTTTCCACCATAACCAGCAAGACCAATTCAAATATCATCTCTTTTATTAAGTCTTTCTTCATCTTCCAAAATAAAATGTACTGCCCCTCTCTTGTGTTCCTATATGACCTACCTTTTATCTATTATAGTATCTTTAGCATTTCTTCCACTATATGTTTATATATCTGTGTCTCCTATTAGATTATAAACATTTTGATCCTGCCTATAATGATGACTTGGTGTGGGGGGGAGGAATTAATTAGCTTTATAGTTTCTGACTCAATAAAATTTGACTGAATAACTACATATTAAGTGAAATAATGTACTTAGAATTGATTCATTTAGGCCGGGTGCGGTGGCTCAAGCCTGTAATCCCAGCAATTTGGGAGGCCAAGGCAGGCAGATCACTTAAGGTCAGGAGTTCGAGACCAGCCTAGCCAACATGGTGAAACTCTGTCTCTACTGAAAATATAAAAATTAGCCTGGTGTGGTGGCGGGCACCTGTAATCCCAGATACTCAGGAGGCTGAGGGAGGAGAATCACTTGAACCAGGGAGGCGGAGGTTGCAGTGAGCCGAGATTGTGCCTTTGCACTCCAGCCTGGGCAACAGAGTGAGACTCCAAAAAAAAAAAAAAAAGAAAGAAAAGAAAAAGAATTGACTCATTTATGTAGCATAATATTCTCAAATTATCTGATCCTCTCCATGATAGAGGACTCCATGACTCTGCCAGTCAAATCCTTTCAGTTAAGAGGGAGGCAGGATTATTTCTTACATTCAATATGGGAAATGAGGGGTAAGAATAGAAAATTTAAAAAATCCAATTTAAAGCGAGTATCCCAGTTGAGCCAGAAAAACTTGAACAAAACTATCAAGTAAGGGAGGCCCACGGTAGGGAGTGAGAGCAAACCAGGACAAAGCATGAGAGAGTTAAAACAAAGAGCAGCCAGTCAGAGGGGGCAGCTAGAAGTCCCCTGCACTAATTTCTGAAACAAGAGTGCAATATCCTCACCTGACTCTTCAGTTTCTTCTTCTACTAGAGCTTTTCATGAGTGAATTGACTGTGATTGATGGGAAGGCAGTTATGTGATGACTGACTCTGTATCTTGAGATGCCAGTCTTTTAAAAGAAAGGAAATATAATGTCCCCATTCTTTATGTTTTTCTACAGTTCATATCTCTAAGTGCAGACCCATAGCACTTAGTAAGTTTACAGGCAGGACCAGACAGAATGAAATTGAGATGATGAAACAGGTTTGCATTTTACATGTTGCTCTCTGAAAGCCACAACTGGAAAATAAACACAAGTCGGAAGCTCTAAAACTCGGACGAACTGTGATTATAGCTGTACTTTTATAACTGGTATCTCAGAACTCCCTAGAAGCTTATTTACATGTTGAAAACATCAATTATTCCTCCCATTTGAAATACATAGTTCTTGTAATCAATTGCTTTGAGTCAATGTTTAGAATTATTCATGAAAGAGTTATATTTTAATGGCATTTGATGAGAACCAGCAGCAGCATCCATTAATTTGATTAGTTGTTTATGGGCTGGAAGAGAAGCCTGGCACCTAGCCCTAAGCAAATCAATTGTGTGAGGTCTAAGCATAAGTATCCATCCAAGCCAGCCTTGCCAGCCAGGATTCTACACAGAGTGACAACAGTGGAGGGAGGGCAAAACGTTAGACAAGAAGTGTCTTACGGCCCCTCTTTCTGCCTGCTTGGCATTTTACCATCAGTTACCTCTTATCTAAAGGCAGTGAGTGTAAGCTGTTTTTCTACTCCACCCTACTCCGGCCCCATACCCTGTTGTCCTTTCTGAAGGACAGAGTAGAGGGATTTCTGTGGGTGGTTGTTTTTTTTTTTTGTTTGTTTTGTTTTGGTTTTTTTTTTAAACCTAAGGACTTAAATATGTATCATCATCCAAGCCTGAAAACAAATAAATCTGGACATTGAAGAAAACAGGAGCAAGAGCCAGGGGCCCAATTCCACTGCAGGTTCCTCTGTTTGAAAGGGTTGAGGAGTAGCTGCCAAAGAAGGCAGAAGAGCCCATGATGCAAGGGATCCAATATGGAGGGAAGTGTAGCAGCAGACACTGCTGGAGCTGGCAGGGTGTTGTCATTGTCCCAGAGAAATCTGTCCAGTTTGAAGCAGGAAGCATTCCTGGGAGAAGCCAAAGGAAAGCCATACAGACAGCCCAAGCTGGGACGTCAACCAGTTTGCATTTTGTGATTGACCAGTCACTTGGCCTCCAATCAAATGGTCTCGGGTTTTGGGCAGGGTACCGGTAGAAAATGGACTGCAGACAAGAGACCAGGCTGTATTCTAGTCCCAACCACCAGACACACCATATGGGGGAAAGTAACACCTCAGTGCCCACCCCACCCCCACACAGGAGGAGCTGGCTCCTGAGAACAGGCCTAACTGCTGGGGGCAGGCTACTGGGACACCGCTGGATTTTGGTAGGAGTCACTCAGTGATTGAACAAAGCCGAATCCACAGACCTAAGGATGCTCCTGCACAAAAAACCAACTGAAATAATGCCAAAGAATAATGCTTTGCTAAGGCAGGGAAGATTGCATTTGTTTTTATAACAGTCTACCTTCAAAAAAAGGTAGTCCTTTCTATAGCTATAATTAAGTCATTATTTGTGTCATTATGAGTTTTAAGTGTATCTTTCCCTCTAGTTATTTGTATGGCTCAATCCTGTATATCTAGTGCCTCTCTCAGGATATATGATAAATGTTTGTGAGGATGGATATGTTAATTAGCTTGATTTAATTATTCCACATTTGTATTACAAAATCATAGCATCATTTTGTACTCTATAAATACATACAACTATAACTTGTCTATTTACAATAAACTTTTTATAACAAGGATATGCTGAGATGGGAGAGGTGAGCAGGTTTCAGCTCATGCTTGGGCCTCATTGACCATGCTGAGGACTTTGTACTTTCTTCTGAAGATAGCAGGAAACCACTAAAGAATTTTAAGCAGAAAATGACATTATTAGGTATAGCATACTTAAAAACATACTCTGACCAAGAAAAGATTTCAAGGCCCCATCAATACAATAAAATAACTAAATCAATTTTGGCTTGACTTTGGTGTCTCAAGATTCCCTCTCCACAACTGGATGAAATTACTCACCACCTGCTTGTGGGAGGATGGCACACCAAACTGGCTCCGGGGATTCTTTTTCCATGTACTCACTCTAGGCAGCAGGGTCATGGTGACAGATGATGCTTGGGCTACCCAGCTGAAGGACCTCAGAAAAGGCTCTTGTAACTCAAGTCTTTATAAGGACAAAAAGGATTACCTGCAAATATTTCATTTCATATAATAAAGTGAAATATATTCTGTTCTTCAAAAAGTTAACCTAAGCCTAGACATAGGGAAGCAATAGCAGATATATCTGGGTTTATATGTACAAATAATATACAAAAGTAGAAAGGTACTCATAGTGTCCCAGTTCTAGCTCCTTAAATCAAAACAAAACAAAAGAAAAACTTCAGTTCTGCAAAGAGTTCTCACAAAACAGCAAGAATACCAATACAAACCCTCTTAATCACTTGTGGTAGACATGGAGATGTGCTGCCCCAGATCCCTTACAAAGCACTTTCCATTCAGCAGCAGGTGATATACTCAGTGAACAGCTTCCAGGTGTCAGCTCCTTTAGGGTCTGCCTCAGCTGTAGAGAGCCACCTTGCCCAGGGACACAGTCTCCCTGGAGCAACACACATCCTGTCATGGAACTATGACATAAGGCCAGAAGAGCCACTGGATGATTAAGCTCCACAGGAAGGCCCAGGAGATGAACATTGACCAAGAACAAATAAATGTATTGGTAAGAAAGGCAATGGCATAATCTAAACGTAGACAACCACATACTCAACCGAATAGTAGGTCCAATCACAGCTGCTGTGCCAGATGCAGTATTTTTGTTAGAACAGTGGTAGCTCTAGCAACCACCAGAGCTAGAGAGGGCCACAGCTGATGGTGAGAAAGGTTGCTATTTACTTGACTTATAGCAATGGAGTTGATGACACCCCAAAATAATTGAGGCCATGTGGTGGTGCTTGAATAATGAAATCCAGGGTGTAATGATTAATTGTGATTCCTGGCAAGGTTAGAGTGGCTTCCAGTGGGTCAGATCTATAGAAAATATAGGAGATGTGTCTTTACAGGCAAAGTAAATGGGCAGTGGACTAGGGTAATACTCAGCCTGCTGCAGCAAAAGAAATTAAGTACAGAGGTTCAGCAGACTAAGCATAATCACCCGAATAAATCATTACCCTTGTTCAGTTTCTAGACCTGAGCCAATTTAAGACCTGAAGCCCGTTGATCAAAGAGAGAACTGGGTCCTCAGGAAGAAAGATCCTAAAACACCATAGCATGTACTATGGCAATGATTCTACCAAACTTCCACATTTTACACACTTACCTGAGTAAATGGCTATAGATCCATTTGGAGGAAAGTTTGGGAAGTATAAGGACATGGTGCCTGCATCCGATGAGAGACTTCTGTCTGTGCCATAACATGGCAGAGGGCATTACATCGTGAGAGGGCAAGAGCGTGTCAGCTCAGGTCTCTCTTCCTCTTCCTCTTCCTATAAAGCCATCAGGGTTCCATCATAGGGCTCTACCTTGATGACCTTGTCTAGTCCTAATAACCTCCAAAGGCCACACCTCCAATCAACATATGAATTTCAGGATTAAGTTTCAACATATTAAATTTGGGGATGTGTTCAAACTACAACAGTGTCATAATAGTCTGTTGTTATATTGAGGAGCACTCAGAAACCAAGTTATAAATGGAGTCCTGGCCAAAATCCGGCTTGCAATAAGTTCACTGGATCCATGGACCTGCCCTGTAGTCATTTCTCCCATCCCTGAATGTATAGTTGAGATTGATACACTTAATACTTGAAGTAAGCTCCACATTTTGTCCTTGGCCTATAGACTGAACGCTATCAAAGTGAAGAAGGCCAAGCAGAAGTCTCTAAAACCAATCATCTATGCCCAGCCAAGATAACAAATTAAAAAATACTGCACCAGAGTGCGGAAGAGTGGAAATTAATGCCACTCTTGAAGACCTCTAGATCCCAGGGTAATCATCCTTATCATATATCTGCTTATTTTACCAGTCTGACCTCTGGAAAAAGCAGGTGGGTCCTGAAGGTAGGATATTACCACAAATTCAACCAAATTATAGTTCCAACCACAGCAGCTGTGCCAACTTCAATATTTTTGCTAGAGCAGATTAATATGTCCTCAAGTACAGCATATGCAGTGATTAACTTATCAGATAAATTATTTTCTATCTCAATCAAAAAAGAGTATTGGAAACCACTGGCATTTACATGAATCAGGCAAGAATATACATGTATAGTTTTACCCAAGGATAACTTTCCTACTGCAGTCACAACATAGTCCAAAGAAATCTGGACCATGTAGATATCCTAGGGAACTTCACATTGATCAATATCATCAATGATACTATAGTTATAGGGGCAAATAAGCAAGAGATAGCTAGCATACAGAAAGTCTTGGTAGTAGATATGTGCCCAACAGGGTAGGATATGGACCCTGAGAAAATTGTGAGGCCTGAAACATTTATAAAATTTCAGGGGCCCCTGTGGTCAGTAACATGCTGACATCCCTTCCAAATTAGTGTACCTTGCACTTCCCACCACCAAAAAGTAAAATAAAATAAAAAGAAACATAATGCCTAATGAGCTACTGTATTAGTTCATTTTCATGCTGCTGATAAAGACATACCAAAGACTGGGCAATTTACAAAAAAAAAGAGGTTTAATGGACTCACAGTTCCACGTGGCTGGGGAGGCCTCACAACCATGGCAGAAGGTGAAAGGCACATCTCACATGGTGGCAGATAAGAGAAGAGAACTTGTGCAGGGAAACTCCCCTTTTTAAAACCATCAGATCTCATAAGACTTGTTCACTATCATGAGAACAGCACTGGAAAGACCTGCCTCCATGATTCAATTACCTCCCACCAGGTCCCTCCCACAGCACATGGGAATTCAAGATGAGATTTGGGTGGGGACACAGCCAAACCATATCACCTACATTACACACAAAAAATACTTCTCCAGTTGATACACTGGGCAATGGGAAAGGCTTCCAGGTTTTAGTGGGATTGTTAAATCTAGAACAGAAGAGGACTCTACAGCAAGTCCAAGAAGCACAGCAAGCAACTCTGCCACCACTTGGGCCATAGACAGGTAAACCCAATGGTGTTGGAGGTATCAGTGCTGAGAAAAGAGGCCAGGTGGATCCTGTGTCATGCCGCAGTGGGAGATCACAACAGAAGTGTCTGGGTTTCTGAAGCAAGGCCATACAATCTACAGCAGGTAATTGCGTGTTTTTTGAAAAACAACTTCTGACATAGTACTGGCCCCTGCTAGAGAAGGGGTACCTTACCATGGCACAACACATGACCATACAATTCAATTGCTCATCATGGGCTGGGTCCTATCAGTCCTAGTCATAAGGTTGGGCAGGACCAGCAATAGTTCATCATGAGATGGAAGTGGTATATCCAGCATCAATCACAAGCAGGACCAGAGAAGACAAGTAAGCTGCATAAGCAGGTAGTCCAAGTCCAGGCACCCAGAGCTTCCCCCTTTATTATAATAGCATTCCTTTTTCAACTCACACCTCTGAACATATGCTGGTCACCAACTGACCAACTACTAGAAAGGAAAAAAATTAACCTTGGTTTATGGATGTTTTGGCTTGGTATGCAGACATCAACAGAAAATGGACAGCAACCATAGCATATTCAGGGATGACATGGAAAAACATTGAAAAGGGATATTCTTCCCAATGATCAATGCTTTGGTTTGTTTACCTGGTCATATCCTCTGTGTGGAGAGAAAAGTAACCCAAAGTTGGAATATATATGGATTTATGGACTGTGACATGTGGCCTAGTTGGCTGGTCAGGGGTTGTGGAAGAATATGGATGGACATAAGTGAGTGATCACAAAATATGAAGATCTTTACAACACATGTTAATGCCTGCAAGAAAGCATTCACTATAAAGAGGAATTAAACAACCAACAGACAAAATGACTCAGCAGTGGATATCAATATCTGTTATCAGAAAATGCTAAGGCTGAGTCATAATAGCAAAAAATTAACTAGAAACAAACTACAATCAGCAAGCTAGACTGTCAGCCCCTACATGAAGAAACCAGAGCAGCCCACTAAAGACGTATCATGTTGTGAAAGATGGTTTGTCTGTTATAATCCAGAGAGATTTTTCAGCAAAATAGGTTAATTTGTGCTCGTTAAGACAGCAAAAACAATCTGTCAACCTGACCCTCTCCACTATCTTTCTGGGAGCCTTGGGGCTGTCCGGAAGCTATGGGGAGAACTGCCTGCTTGACAGCTGGTTAGAATACTTCCACAAGATACTGCCATGAATAGGAATTTTTAAATAAGTGCGGTGAGGTTTTTTTCTCATTCTGCCTAGGTATTCAAAGACCATCTAAGGATATTGGAATGATTTTTAAAAGCTTACATTAATTAAGGAATATTGGATTAGATGCCCTCTTGCATCCAAAAAGCATGTTTATTCTATCATCTTGGGACCAAAAAGCAAAATATGGAAGATTAGCAAAGGAAAAAGATAGCAAATCCACAGATGCAGTCCTACTTTAATTGTATTGTTAATAATTACCTTTGTTGAACAGATGCAGAAATATCTGATAATCTGTGACAGATGGGAATTCATCTATTCTCGACTCATAAGGGCTGAAGTGGGTGTTCATTACTTGGTGACAAGAAAAGCTGTCTTCATCAGTATCCCTTCTGATGTGGTCAGTTTATGTTTGTCATCAGAAGAAAAGACAATCGGGGTTTCATGCGAGCCAGATCTGACACTGAATTGCAAAAATGCATGTCTCCATTGACAGATGAGGGAGAGCCCACCAGAGCATGCTTTCTGAGGTTTTCTTCTCCAAGTACTGGTAGATTTTGGAAATTTTATATTGTTTTGCAAAACAAACTTTCACACCAAATAGCAGTCACCACACTAAAACTGAGCAAAGACTGGCATACTTTGTCATTCTGAGAATCTGTAAACACAAATGCTTGTATACACACACACACACCCCACACACATACACACATACACAGAGTGAAACATTTAGCACATATAGTAAGGTGATGGCTAGGCTTTTCTGAGTATACAATATTTTATTAGCAAAATAGTAACAAATCAAATGTAATGATAGTCCTTCCTGCATTATCCCATTAAACATGTCTCCTTGATATGATTATTGGCCACTTGGCAACCAAAACCCTGCCTTATAAAGCTCTCTGTTTTAAACAGCCCCTGTAAAAATGCATGTTGATGGGTGAATAAAGGAAGGAGTAAAGGAATGAATGAATGGATAGATGGATGCATGAATACAACGTAAGTAGTATGATAGCTTTTCATAATACATGGCCTTATCACTTGTATTTTCTTAACTAATCTCTTAAAATTTGCTTCCCCGTATTACCCAGAATCCAATAATACCTCCCTGAGGTGCTCTCATTTCAACTATTAACCCTGTGGATCACTCAATCCCATGGGCATTTAAGAGCAATTGTAAGTCTGCTCAGTCCATCATTGTTATTGATTCCTTCATTGCCATACATGGTTACTGTTGGAAATTGGTCCCTTGTAGTCACATGGGTTGTTTGACACTGCTGACTAATCTCAAATTATGGGAGTTCACCATAGAGTTTCTGATAATATTGAACCTCAAAATAGGTGACAAAGGTCTCTCTTACTCTAAGGAGGCTTTTTGGCCCCCGTATGCCAATTTACTCACCTTTATATAGCAGGGGATGTTGACAGGGACCTCCCTTGTCAGGCTACCAAATGTTCTGCTCTTTCTTCCTCAAAGGAAATCAGCCTTACTTTTACCTAACTAACAAGTACTATAACTGCTCAACTGATTCCTGCCTGAATGCAGAAAACCTGAGGCAAGGTAAAATGTGAGTCTACCCAACGAAGAAAATACAAAAGCTAGTTCTTTTGCAAAAACAATTTAGAGTTCTCACTCACCCAATACTATCCCGCAATGGTCTCATTAACATATATTAAGTACGGTGTCCCAGCCCTTTGTTAAGCACCTCACATGCATTAACTCCTGTAATCCCCACACAATTTCCATGACAGGCACAATTCTTACCTCCTTTTTACAGAATGGAAAACTGTGGTCAAGTAATTTCAGGACCTTGGACTTGCAGAACCAGTTAAGGGTGAAACCAGTTTCAAATAAAGAGCATCTAGCTTGTGTGACAGCCCTGTCCTGTGTTATCCATCCATGCTTTTTGCAAGCAGCAGAGTGGGCAGGCAGCAGGAGGCATGGAAGGGAGAGATCAAAGATAGGCTACTGGTGCAGGTCGGGTCATTCTGTCTTTTTTGCTATCATGATCCCTCGCTATGGCTCTACAGACAGAATTATTTTTCATGTACCCTCTGAAGCTCTTCAATGAATTTAAGGTGAAGAAGTCTCAGTCTCACTGAATCAAATTGGATTACAGATATATTGCATACTCTCATTTTCTGCAACATTCTATGAGAATCAACACATTTAAAATCCATACATGTTGGAATATGTTGTTTCTCTGGCCAGTCTTTGTTCTGATATGCTCTTGCCTTATTGCTTGTTTAGAAAAACCAATTTTCTCAAATACAGAACCTAGGAAAAAAATTGCTGGTGGAATGGCCACTTTTGGCTTTTGCTGTGTTCTTCTATTGGCAGAGGATTTTACATGGTGCCAAAGATAAGCAAAGAACAAGTAGATTTGAAAAGAGATTTTTTTTAATGGTCAAAAAATCTCCTATTATGGGTAGTTGTATATTTTTGTAGAATGTCAGGATTTACATAAGCAAATTTTTCTTCTTTCCTTGAAATCATTTCTCTTCTTGAATCCCAGATCTTGGTGTTACCGTGTATGCAACTTACTTTAAAATACTTCACCCTAGACAGAGTGATGTAAATATGTGCATGTTTGTTTAAAGTACCCTCTAGGGAAGTCAGCTGTCCTAATAGGAACTCTCATTTCTTGGATGGTCAATTAGAAAGCTACCATCATATCAGAAAGGTGACACTCTATAAAGAAGTACCTTCTATACTGTATAAAGTACCTTCTATACTGTTCCAGCTATGTTGGCCTTGGATATGATATTGTTATGTAATATAATGAATTTCAGAAACAAGACCTCCTTGGTGAAATTAATGATAGTTAAGATTTGAGGATACTTTAATGATACTTCTAATTCTTGCATAAGCCTGGAATAAGTGTTCTAACAAGCCCTTTGGTCCCACTTTAGAAAAGACACCCAAAGACCGGGTGCGGTGGCTCATGCCTGTAATCCCAGCACTTTGGGAGGCCGAGACGGGCGGATCACGAGGTCAGGAGATCGAGACCATCCTGGCTAACACGGTGAAACCCCGTCTCTACTAAAAATACAAAAAAATTAGCCAGGCATGGTGGTGGGCACCTGTAGTCCCAGCTACTCGGGAGGCTGAGGCAGGAGAATGGCATGAACCCGGGAGGAGTAGCTTGCAGTGAGCCAAGATCACGCCACTGCACTCCAGCCTGGGCGACAGAGTGAGACTCTGTCTCAAAAAAAAATGAAAAGACACTCAAGGCTTGATCCCTAGAGGGCCCTCTGTGTCCAGCCACTGAATCAGAGGATCCAAGTTTCCCGATTGTTAATAAAAAGGTGCCTGAATCCTGCCTCTATTATTCAGTCAGCCTCAAATGAACATTTAATGTAAGCTTGGGTCAGTTACTTAAAGGACAGACAAATGGGATGTCAACAAGGTTACAAGACAGGTTGTATGCACTATTTTATGCCCACTTAGAAAATATTTAATAAATGTCTAAATGTGTGGCACAATTTTGGTCTGAGAGCTGCTTTCATTATACATTCTATCCTTATTGCATAATAGCTAAACTTCATCACCTCAAATTTTTCGAGGTTACATTTATCTACAAAAGCACCTAAGATGGGTACACCTTCCAATAGACTTGAGTCTATTTATACTTGCTTATTGTCACCACTCATCCGCTTACACAAACTAGAAAATTGAATCAACTTCAACATTACCCTATTTTTTTTTAAGAGGCAGGATCTCTCTCTTTCTCTCTGTCACCCAGGTTAGAGTGCAGTGCACAATCGTAGCTCATTGTAGCCTCAAACTCTTGGGCTCAAGTGATCCTCCTGCCTCAGCCTCCTAGGTAGATAAGTCTACAGGCAAATGCCAGTACACCCAGCTGATTTTTTTTTTTTAAGGACAGGGTCTCACTGTGTTGCCCAGGCCGGTCGCAAACTCCTGGCTTTAAGTGACCCTCCTACTTTGGCCTCCCAAAGTGCTGGGATTATAGGCATGAGCCACCGTGCTTGTAGTACGCCTTTTTTTTTTTTTTTTTTTTGGAAATAAATTGGACCATGCAGCAAATCTAAAACTTTCTAGTATACTTCAGATTCCCTCTTCTGTGCCTCCACTGCTGCTCCACAGATGAGCTTTTTGTTATCTATTACATGGACTGTTGCCACAGCCCCCAACTGTCTTTCACCTTAGTCTTTCCTTTCACATTGCTGACGTAATATTTCTCAAGGGTAACCATGTCATCCACTGTTCAGAAACCTTCAATAACCATTCCCTCCTTTAATAACAGAATAAAGCAGAATTCCTGCAGTTGGAATTCAAGGACTGTCATAGCCGCAGTTTACTTTTTGGCTTCATCTCTTCCTCTTAGTTCTCCGACATTTGCCACACACATGCCAGTCATTGCCAAGGTCTTTGCTGTTGCTCCTGGGGCTTCCTCTGCCTAGAATGCACACCTTTCCTTCTGCATGCCTCAGAGCTTGATGTAAATGTCACCTTCTTCACTAATCTTTCCTGATCCCCTTAAGTAGAAGTAATCCTTGCTGCTTCTATTACTACATGTCTCTAAATTTGGTGAGTATTATAATTAGATGTTTTATCCTATCTCCCCTAGTAAATTGTGTTTTGAAGGCATTGATCGTATATATCCTTCCTTTTATGTTCTTTACAGCACAATAGTATTCAGTTAATACTTTTGAATTGTACAGTATGCATACATACTCAGTCTAACTTAGTGGTTTCTTAAATGTCTACTCCAAGAGCAGTAGGATTCAAATTTAAGTGAATATGAGAACCATGGTGGTTGTGGTGGTGGAGCAGGAGCAAAAGGGTTTTATATTCAGATTCTGACACCCAACATCCTAAGATCTTGACTCAGTTCTAGGATGTGACCTTTTAAACACACATCCCAGGTAATCCTGAAACAGATGGTCCCAAGACCACATGCTGGTCTATGAGTCGATGGCAGAGCATGAACAGGGAAATACTAACGTGAGTTGGGAGGACTTGTTGGCACTGGGAAAGGAAGCTAGTAGGCAGAGCAGGTAGCTCTCTGGGTTCTGTGTCCTGGAATCATGCCAATCAACTCAAATTAGTGTCCTAGGGTTTCACTGTTTTTCAAACTGATCTACAAAAGCATTCATACTTTTGAACTACACTTAAAGAGCACCTGCAGGAATTCATCTATGGTGATTGTTTCCTTACTTTGAACATAACATACTTGAAGATGTCAAACAGAATGTAATATTTGGGCTGGGAAGTGGGAGATGGGGTGGAACGGTAGAAAGAAAGCCTAATAGAATCCTGTCTCTGAAGGCTAAAACAATTTGCAACAATCAGTGATAGTCCTTCTGTTATCACTAATTCAACTGATTAAATGCAATTGCAGGCTGGGCATGGTGGCTCACGCCTATAATCCCAGCACTTTGGGAGGCTGAGGCGGGTGGATCTTCTAATGTCAGGAATTCGAGACCAGCCTGGCCAACATGGCTAAACCCTGCCTCTACTAAAAATACAAAAAAAAAAAAAAAAAAAAAAATTAACCAGGCATAGTCCCAGCTACTTAGAAGGCTGAAGCAGGAGAATCGCTTGAACCCGGGAGATGGAGGGTACAGTAAGCTGAGATCACGCCACTGCACTCCAGCCTGGGCAACAGAGCAAGACTCCATCTCAATAAATAAATAAATAAGTAAATAAGTAAATAAAGCAATTGCATTATACTAAACAAATGGAAAGTTGATCATCAAAATGTATAAAACACCTTCAGTTTCAGCTACAACACGTCAAAAGTTTGGAAGTCATTACTTCCATCCTTATAAGAAAAAGCCCAACATATTGAAAATCAATGACTTTCCTTCAATTCATCAGATAATTGAGTTCAGGGGAAAAACTGTGCCCCTCAAATTTAGAAAAATAGATGAACACATAGAGTTATGGCCGAACTCAGAGAATCATAGCCAAATACAGAGAATCACAGCTGAGATTAGCTTATCTGCTGCAGAAGCCACAAGAGCTATAAACTGGTAGAAACACTTTAATGATTATTTTGATGAATTGCTAGAGGCCGAGTGTAAACTGGCTTAGAGTAAGACTTCTTGGGCACCCAGTCCTAGAGGGGTTCTCACACTTTTCTGAGTTTTATCTCCAGGAATCCTCAGGTTCTCATGGTGAACAAGCCATGGAAATTAAAAACAAAAAAATTCTTATTTTTGGTAGGAGGAGGGGAAAATAAATCATTTTGAGAGAAACCCAGAACATGCTCTATGACAAAAGCCTAATCTCTAGGAGAAACAATTTTACCAAATGCTTATAACACCAGTGAGAAAGGTGTCTATCCAATCCCAGTTTCCTCCAGCCTTTCTATTTCACCTAAGGAGAGAATAAACAAGTTTAGAAACACTGTAAAAGTCACAGTGCAGACACACAGACCCACTAAAACACTGAGATACCATCATAAAATTACAGAATATTTCTTCTCTTGTACCTTATCACCAACAGGGCTTCAGTATAATAAGAGTGGAGTGCTGCAAGACACAGATTCTATTTAAGGAGTAGCTCCTTGGGAAGCCAAATACAAGAGGGGAGACGTAAATGAGGAAAGTGAAGGCTTTGGCAACTACATCTGCCATAAACATAAAAATAGCCCAATCCCCAGCTGGATAAGCATAAAACCTTATATTAAAGGCCTATTTCCCTCAGTTCCTATTGTTCAATACATGTCCAGATTTCGACAAAATACTATGAGTCATGCTAAAAGGCAAGAAAAAAAAATAGAACCTAATGAGATAAAGCAATATAATAACAAAATTCAGATATGACATAGGTTTGGGGATTATTAGACAGGAATTTTAAACATTATGATTATTATGTCAAAGTCTCTAGTATAAATGTAGACATGTAAGAACAGATGGGTTTGTAAGCAGAGAGACAGAAACTCTAATAAAGAGTGAACAGGAAATGCTAGTCAAAAACACTGTAATAGAAATGAAGAATGACTTTGATGGGCTCATCAACAGACTGATCAGGAGACTGATCAGGAGACTGGGCATGGACAAAAAAAGAATCAGTGGACTTGAAAATGTGGTAACAGAAACCTCCAAACAGAGATACAAAGAGAAAATACAAAAGATAATAACAATTTTAAAAATAGAGCATCCAGGAACTGTGGGGCAATTTCAAAAGGTACAATATTCACGAACTTGGAATGACAAAAGAAAAAGAAGAAGGAGAGGAGAACAGAAGAAATATTAAAAGTAATCATGTCCGGGATTTTCAAAAGTTAGTGACAGACACCAAATCAAAATAAAGGAAGCTTAGAAAAACACCAAGCAGGATAAATATGAAATAATCAACACCTTGGCATATCACATTAAAACTGCAGAGAGAGAGAGAGAGGTTTTTTTAAAGCCAAAGGGAAAAAAAATACTCACCTCACCTATAGAAAAATAAAGATGAAAATTATATTGGACTTCTTCTCCTCAGAAACCATGTAAATCAGAAGATAGTGAAGTGAAATATTTAAAGTATTAGAAGAAAAACAATACCACCAGCCTAGAATGTTATACCCAACAAAATTATTTTCAAAAAAGGAAAAATAAAGGTTTTCTCAGATAAATAAAAACTGAAGTGGTTTATTGTAAATAGACCTTCTCTGTAAGAAATATTAGAATTTCTTCAGAGAAAAGAAAAATTACGTAAGTCAGAATTTTGATCTACATAAAAAAGGAAGAGTGTCAGAGAAGGAATAAAGAGGAAATCAAATAAAATACTAAGAAAATGGAATTATATTGAATGCTCAATCAAAACCTGCCAGAGAAGGTAGAAAAAGAGAGCAATGTATTTTTAAATGCCACCAATAGAAAACAGTTACACACATAGTAGTTATTAAACCAGTTAAATCACTGTATCGGTCTTATTTGGGCTACTATAACAAAATAGCATATACTGGATAGGTTAAACAGCAGAAATTTGTTTTCTCACAGTTTAGGAGTCTATAATTATATGCTTTCAACAAGAAACCCTTTGACACATACAAACACACATGCGTGCACACACACACACACACACATACATATATATAAAGGAATGGAATGCTGATGCTAATCAAGTGAATGCTAGAATAGCTATATTAATTTCAGACAAACTTGACTTCAGAATAATGAAAATTATCAGGGATAAAGAAGGACATTACATAATAATAAAAGGACTAACTCTTCAAGAAGATATAGCAATCCCTAATGTGTATGCAGTGAACAACAGGGCATCAAAATACATGAGGCAAAAGTTGATAGGGCTGAAAGGAGAAACAGATAAATTCACTCCTATGGCTGGAGAATCTCATACCTCTTTTTCAGTAATTGAAAATGATTCAGCAGGCAGAGAATCAATAAGGATATAATCAAAATAAATAATAACATCAATCAACTTGAACTAATTGACATATGTAGAATATTTTTATGCTTCCCAAGCTCAAGTGGAACATTTAGCAATATAGACTACATATGAGCAATAAGTAAAATACAACTTAACATATTTAAAAGAACATAAATTATACAAAATATGTTTTCAATCACAATGAAATTAAATATCAATGACAGAAAGATAACTGAAAAATCCAAAAACACAAATACAACTCTAAAAAAGGGTCAAAAAGAGTCTCAGACATTTAAAAATATTTAGAAATACATAAAAATTAAAATACAATTTATCAAAATTTGTGGAATGTAGCAAAAGCAGAGCTTAAGGAAACAATAGCAGTAGCTGCACATATTAGAAAAGAAGAAATATTTATAATCAACAATGTAAGCTTACACCTTAGGAAACTATAGAAAAAATATAAATTTAAGCCCAAATCAAGCACAAAATAATAAAATAATAAAAACTAGAAAGGGAATTGATTTCATTGAAAACAGGGAATCAATAGAAAAAAATCAACAACAGCAAATTCTGGCTTTTGGAAAAGAAATATAAAATTGATAAACTGCTAGCCAGGTGTCTGAATCCACTTTGCTTCTACAACAGAATACTTGAGACTGGGTAAATTATAATGAACAGAAATTTATTTCCACAGTTCAGGAGGCTGGGAAGTCTAAAATTGAGGGGCCAGATGATGGAAGGTAGAAGGGCAACACTGGACAAGATGCAGGGAGGGTAGACAAACTTCTCCCTTTTTAACAAACTCACTCTGACATTAATTTAATAATGAAGGAAGAGCCCTTATGGCCTAATCACCTCTTAAAGGTCCTACCTCTTAACACTGTTATAATGGCAATTAAATTTCAACATAAATTTTGGAAGGGACAAAGATTCAAATCATAGTACCAGGCCAACAAAGAAAAGAAAAGAAATGATAAAAATTGCTAGTATTAGAAATGAAAGAGGAGTCATCATTACTGATCTCATGGTCATCAAAAGGAGAATAAAAAGATATTATGAACAACTCTCTCTCCACAGATTTGATAACTTAGATGAAGTGGACCAATTTTTTAAAGACACAAGCTACCCAATTCACACAAGGAGGAAAAGATAATCTAAAAGAATCCACATCTCTGAAAGAAATTGAATCAATAATAAACTTCCAAAACAGAAAGTACCAGGGCCAGACAGTTTTACTAGTAAATTCTACCAAACATTCAAAGAGAGAATACCAATTTTCTATAATATGATCCAGAAAATAGAAACAGAGGAAATTCTTTCTAACTTATTCTATAAATCTCGCATTACCCTAACAGCAAAACTACATAAAGACATCACAAGAAAGAAAAACTACAGACCAATATCCCTCACAAACATATATATAAAAATATTAACAGTCAACTCCAACAATGTATCAAAATAATTATACACCATGAGCAGGTGGGACTTATTACAGGTATGCAATGCTGGCTCAACATTAGAAAATCAATTAATGTAGTCCGCCACATAAATAGGCCAAAATAAATTATATGGGCAATTGATAAAGAAAAAGCATTTGACAAAATCTAACATATACTTAACAATAAAATCTCTCAGCAACGTAAGATAAGAGGAGGACTTCCTCAACCTGATAAACAACATTTACAAAAAACCCTGAAACTACATAATGCTTGATATTAAGAAACTGGCAGCTGTCCCCCTAAGATCAGGAACAAAGCAACTATATCCCCTCTTACCACCTCTCTTCAACATTGTACTGGAAGCCCAGCTATGCAATAAGACAAAAAAATTAAAAAGGGACTTAAAAGTTTACATTTGGTATACTGCAGCAGGCCAAGAGCTGTTTCTCAAAGGAGCATAGTTATCTTTATTAAGAACACCACCATTTATAATAGCACAAAAATAAATTAAACACTTAGGTATAAATCTAAGAAAACTCACATAGGATCTATATGTAGGAAGCTACAAAATTCTGATGAAAGATATCAAAGAAGATATAAGCAAATGGAGAGATATTCCATGTTCAAAGATTGGAAGACTCAATATTGTTAAGATGCCTATTCTTCCCAACTTGATATACAGACTCAACTCAGTCCCAATCAAAAGTCCAGCAAATTATGTTTTGTGGATGTCAACAAACTAATTTGGACTCTAGTTTGTGTGGGAAGGCAAAAGACCTAGAATTGCCAACACAATACTGAAGAGGAAGCACAAAGTTGGAGGGCTGACATTACTGAGCTTCCAGATCATGTAGTTATATACTTATAGTTATTATATAGTTAATCAAGCTTATTAGTGGAAAACACAGACACATAGATCAATGTAACAGAACAGAGAGCCAAGAAATATACCCACAAAAACAGCCAATCAATCTTTGACAAAGGAACAAAGGCAACCAAATGGAGAAAGGATAGCATTTTCAACAAATGGTGCTGGAAAGATTGGACATACTTATGCAAAAAAAAAAATCTAGACACAGACTACATACCCTTCACAAAAGTAAATGAAAAATGAGTCATAAACTTACATGTAAAGTGAACAATTAAAAATAAATATTTAATATTTATTAAAGAAAACAGAAGAATGTAGACCTTGGGTTTAGAGATAAGTTTTTAGACACAACACCAAAAATATGATTCATGAAAAAAAAATTGATAAGTGAAACTTTGCTAAAATTAAAAACTTCTGTTTTGCTAAAGACACTGTTAAGAAAATAAAAAGATGAGCCACATACTGAGAGAAAATATTTGCAAAACATCTCTGATAAAGAACAGATATGAAAATATATAAAGAACTCTTGATTTTTCAACTTTAATTTTAGGTTTGGGGTACACGTGAAGATTTTTTACATGGGTAAATTGCATGTCACTTTGGTTTGGGATACAAATGATTTCATCCTTCAGGTAGTGAGTATAGCGCATAATAGGTGATTTTTTGATCGTCACCCTCCTTCCACTCTCCATCCTCAAGTAGGCCCCAGTGTCTATTGTTCCCCTCTTTGTGTGCAGGTGTACTCAACGTTTAGCTCCCACCTACAAGTGAGAACATGTAGTATTTGGTTTTCTGTTTCTTCATAAGTTTACTTAGGACAATGGCTTCCTGCTCCATCCATGTTGCTGCAAAGGACATGATCTCATTTTTTGTGTGTCTGCATAGCATTCTATGCTGTATATGTACCACATTTTCTTTATTTAGTTCACCGTTGATGGTCATCTATGTTGATTCCACCTTTTTTGCTATTGTTTATTGTTATTTTTTGCTATTATTTAATGCTACAATAAACTACTATAGCAATCAATAATACTGCTACAATACAATAAATAGGCATGCATTTGTCTTTATAATGAATAATTTATATTCCTTTGAGCATATACCAGGTAATGGAATTGCTGGGTTGAATGGTAGTTCTGTTTTTAGTTCTTTTGAGAAATCTTCAAACTGCTTTTCCTGGTGGCTGAACTCATTTACATTCCCACCAGCAGTATATAAGTGTTCCCTTTTCTCTGTAGCCTCACCAAAATCTGCTGTATTTTGATATTTTAATAATTGCCTTTCTGGCCATTATGAGTTGTTGTCTCATTGTGGTTTTTATTTGCATTTCTCTGATTAGTGATGTTGAACATTTTAAAATAGACTTGTTGGCTGTTTTTGTATCAGTGTCATGCTGTTTTGGTTACTGTAGCCTTATAGTGTAGTTTGAAGTCAGTAGTTTGATATCTCTGGCTTTGTTCTTTTTGCTTAGGATTGCTTTGGCTATTTGGGCTCTTTTTTGGTTCTTTATAAATTTTAGAAGATTTTTCTAATTCTGTGGAAAATGACACTAACGGTTTGATAGAAATAGTACTGAATCCGTAAATAGCTATGGGCAATATGGCCATTTTAACAATATTGATTCTTTCTATCCATGAGAGTGGAATGTTTTCCCATTTGTTTGTGTAATGTCTGATTTATTGCAGCAGTGTTTGGTAATTCTCCTTGTAGACATCTTACACCTCCCTGGCAAGCTGTATTCCTAAGTATTTTTTTCTTTTTGTGGATATTGTAAATGGGATTTTGTTCCTGATTTGGCTTTCAGCTTGGATGTTATTGGCATATATAAATGCCAAAATACCCATTTTTGATCATATCCTTTGCAGGGACATGGGTGAAGCTGGAAACCATCATCCTCAGCAAACTAACACAGAAACAGAAAACCAAACACTGCATGTTCTTAATCATAAGTGGGAGTTGAACAATGAGAACACACGGATATGGGGAAGGGCACATCACACACTGGGGCCTGTCGGGAGGGTTGGGGGAAAGGGGAAGGAGAGCATTAGAACAAATACCTAATGCATGTGGGGCTCAAAACCTAGATGACAGGTTGACAGGTGCAGCAAGCCACCCTGGCACATATATACCGATGTAACAAACTTGCATGTTCAGTACATGTATCCCAGAACTTAAAGTAAAATAAAATTAAAAAGAAAGAAAAAGAAATGCTACTCATTGATTTTTATATCCTGAAAGTTTACTGAAGTTGTTTGTCATTTCTAGGAGGCTTCGGGTACAGATTATGGGGTTTTCAAGGTACAGAATTATATTGTCTGCAAATGGAGATGGTTTGACTTCCTCTCTTCCTATTTGGATGTCTTTTATTTCTTTCTCTTATCTGATTGCTCTTGCTAGGACTTCCAGGACTATGGTGAATAGGAGTGGTGAGAATGAGTATCCTTGGTTTCTCCCAGTTCTCAAGGGAAATTCTTCCAGCTTTTGCCTGTTCAGTGTTATGTGGGCTGTGTGTTTGTCATACATGGCTTTTATTTGAGGTATGTTCCTTCAATGCCCAGTTTGCTAAGGGTTTTTAACATGAAGTCATGTTGAATTTTATCGAAAGTTTTTTCTACATCTATTGAGATGATCATGGGGTTTTAAATATTAGTTGTTTATGTGATCAGTCACATTTATTGATTTGCATATGTTGAACCAACCTTGCGTCACAGGAATAAAGTCTACTTGATCATAGTGAATTATCTTTTTGATGCGCTACTGGGTTAGTTTTGATAGTATTTTGTTGATGATTTTTGTGCCTATGTTTATTTGGGATATTGACCTGAAGTTTTCTTTTTTCATGTGTCTTTGCCAGGTTTTGGTATCAGAGCAATACTGGCTTCATAGAATGAGTTAGGGAGGAGTCTCTCCTCCTTGATTCCTTGGAATAATTTCAGTAGTATTGTTACCAGCTCTTCTTTATATGTCTGGTAGAATTCAGCTGTGAATCCATCTGGTTCAGGGTTTTTTTCTGGTTGGTAGGTTTCTCATTACTGATTCAATTTCAGAACTTGCTATTGGTTTGGATTTCTTTCTTCTTAGTTCAATCTTGGGAGGTGATATGTTTCCAGGAATTTATCCATTTCTTCTAGTCTTTCTCGTTTGTGTGCACAGAAGTGTTCATAATAGTCTGTGAAGGACTTTTGTATTTATGTGGGTTGGTGGTAATATCCGCTTTGTCATTTCTAATTGTGTGTGTTTTTTTTAACTTTTATTTTAGGTTCAGGGCTACATGTGCAGGTTTGTTATATAGGTAAATTGTGTGTTGCAGGGGTTTGGTATACAGATTATTTTGTCATCCAGGTATAGGCATAATTATGCACTTGATAGGTAGTTTTTCAATCCTGTCCCTCCTCCCAGCCTCCACCCTCAAATAGGTCCAGTGTCTGTTGTTCCCTTCTTTGTGTCCATATGTACTCAAAATTTAGCTCCCACTTATAAAACAGAACATGTGGTATTTGATATTCTGTGCTAGTTTGCTTAGAATAATGGCCTCCAACTCTATTCGTGTTGCTGCAAAGGACATGATCTTGTTCTTTTTATGGCTGCATAATATTCCATGGTGTATATGTATCACATTTTCTTTATCTAGTCCACCGCTGATGGGCATCAAAGTTGACTCCACATCTCTACTGTTGTGAATAGTGCTGTGATGAACCTACGTATGCATGTGTCCTTATGGTAGAATAATTTATATTCTTTTGGGTATATACCCAATAATGGGATAGTTGGGTCAAATGATAATTCTGATTTAATTTATTTGAGAAATCACCAAACTGTTTTCCCCAATGGCTGAACTAATTTACATTTACACCAGCAGTGTAAAAGTGTTCCCTTTTTTCAACAACCTCGCCAACATTTGTTAATTTTTTGAGTTCTTAATAATAGCCATTCTCGTGTGTGAGATGATATTTCACTGCGGTTTTGATTTGCATTTCTCTAATGGTTAGAGATGTTGAGTATTTTTCCACAGGTTCATTGGCCATCTGTATGCCTTCTTCTGAAAAGTGTCTGTTCATACCCTTTGCCCACTAGGTCAATCTTATTTATTCTTTCAAATAAACAACTTTTGGACCCGTTGATCTTTTGTATAGATTTTCTTGTCTCAATTTTGTTCAGTTCAACTCTGATTTTTGTTATTTATTTTCTTCTGTTAGCTTTGGGAGGTGGTTTACTCTTGTTTTACTAGTCCTATGTGTGATGTTAGGGTGTTAATTTGAGATGTTTGTCTTTTTGATGTAGGCATTTAGCTATAAACTTTCCTCTAAACATGCTGTAACTATTTCCTAGAGATTCTGGCGTATATCTTTGTTTTCATTAGTTTCAAATAATTTTGTGATTTCTGCTAATTTTTGTTCTTTACCCAAAAGTCATTCAAGAGCAAACTTTTAAAATGTTCATGTCATTGTATGGTATTGAGAGATCATCCTGATATTGATTGATATTTTTATTGTGCTGTTGTCTGAGAGTGTGGTTGTTGATTCCAGTTTTTTTAATTTGTTGAGAATTGCTTTATGATCAAGTATGTGGCTGATATTGGAATATGTGGCATGTGAAGATGAGAAGAATAAGTATTCTGTTGTTGGGTGGACTATTCTGTAGATGTCTGTTAGGTCCATCTGGTCAAGTATCGAGTTTAGGTCTCAAATATCTATTAGTTTTCTGCCTCAATGATCTGTCTAATAGCATCTGTGGGTTGTCGAAGTCTCCCAATATTATTGTGTGGTTATCTAAATACCTTCATAGGTCTAAGAACTTGTTTTATGAATCTAGGTGGTCCAACACTGGGTGCATACATATGTAGGATAATTAAATCTTCTTGTTGATTTGAACCTTTCTTCATATGTAATGCCTTTCTGTGTCCTTTTTGATCATTGTTGAGTTTTTGGTAGATTTTTCTCCATCCCTTTACTTTGAACCTATGGGTGTCATTGCATGTGAGATGAGTATCTTGAAGATAACAGACAGTTGGGTCTTGCTTCTTTATCCAACTTGCCACTCTGTCTTTTAAGTGGTGCATTTAGCCTGTTTACATTCAAGGTTAATATTGACATGTGAGGATTTGATTCTTCTATTATCTTTTTTAGGTTGGTTGTTATATAGACTATATATAAAAAATAAATATCCTCCCCATGCTCCATGAGCAATAGAAAATGGAGCCCACTTTAATGACGATCATCACAATGAAAACAAAGCCTTCAGAAATGGTAAACAACCCTGACCGCTTCCATTTCCTGAAGCTTCTAGATATTTAAAAAATAAGGATGGATCAAAACAGTACCACAAAAAGTTGTGATAGCTCTCCAGAGAGGTACAATCAGTGAGGACATTTGCCCTGCAGTCCATGGGAGAGAGTTATGCAAATATTCTTCCTCACAGTTGCCTGACCCTACTGAGGAGCGAAACATCCAATTACCCTCATGGAGGGGAGAAAAGGGAGCATCCCATTTCTGGAATTCCCTGACTCTGATTACTGGCACTGGTTGTGCTTCCTTTCAACCTACAGCTTGGAAGTGCTGCTTCCCAGTGACCACATTATTTAATTAAGAAGCTTCCTTTAACTCTAACACTGAGGTGGGCCTTACAGGAAGCAACAAAATATTTCCATAGTTTTTATTTCGTGGCAGTAACCTGACTTTCTATTTTAAAAATAAAGAAAACCAGCCAGGCACGGTGGCTCACGCCTGTAATCCCAGCACTTTGGGAGGCCGAGGTGGGCGGATCACGAGGTCAGGAGATCAAGACCATCCTGGCTAACACGGTGAAACCCCGTCTGCACTAAAAATACAAAAAATTAGCCAGGCGTGGTGGCGGGCGCCTGTAGTCCCAGCTACTCAGGAGGCTGAGGCAGGAGAATGGCGTGAACCCGGGAGGCAGAGCTTGCAGTGAGCTGAGATTGTGCCACTGCACTCCAGCCTGGGCGACAGAGCGAGACTCTGTCTCAAAATAAATAAATAAATAAATAAATAAATAAATAAATAAATAAATATAAATAAAAAATAAAGAAAACCTCTGCATTTCACTCATCTAGTAAAACAACCTAATAATAAGATTTTATTTTCCTTTTAGTGATGAAAGTCCCAGGTGTTGTATTGTGTGTGTGTGTGTGTGTGTGTGTGCGTATGATCTTGGACAAGTTACTTAACCTAATTGTGCCTTGGTTTCCTCTTCTATATAAATGGAATAACAACAATACCTACCTCACAGGGTTATTGTGAGGATTAAATAAGTTAATACATGCAACTAGAGTGGCTACTATGATACTATCCATGAGAAAAAGAAATCAAGCAATCTACCCAGGGTAATTATGCAAACAAATTTCTAATTATATGTATACTGACTGCCCAAGCCACTTAAATCGCCACTCTTTTTGATCTATGCCTTTTGTATTAATAATGACTAATTCTATGTTTTTGAGCCCTCTCTCGAACTTTAAATTTAAATATGCAAATGCCCACTAAACATATAAACTTAGACTCCACTGGCATTTTATATTTAGTGTATGTAGAACTTTCTGACAGACTTTCCTGATATATTGGTAATTTATTTTAAAAAATTTCTTATTTCTGTATAAGTGGTGTGAAGTAAGTTTAAATTTTAAACAGTTGTACAGATTAATCCTAAAAATGCCTGGGGGAAGGCAGGTGGGGGTAATTAGGAAGTATTTGAAGTAATCTATCAGAAATCAATGCTCCAAAGATGGTTACTAAACATTTGAATTACCATTATCAAAATCTGAGACCCTAGAGTTTGTAATTATCTTTAAAATATTAGCAATATTTTAATAATAAAATAATTTAAAAATTATTAAGTAAATGAATGTGTTTAAGAAAGGTGACTGGCTAGGAATGTTCTACAGGCTCCACTACCCTTGCAGGAACACAATGGTTCCATGGTTCAGCGTTCCCCAGCCAACCCCCGACCGCCAGTCCCCAACACAAGCCACCCCTGACTCCACAAAGAACCTTGTAACCTAACTCAACCAAAAAGTTGTCTGGCCCTTCATTAACAAAGTCCTGGAATCAGTTCTCACTAGCCTTTACTGCAAGGTGTTGGTCAGGTGCCTAGTGCAGAGTGTGGCACTGGTTTTGTGCATTTTTACTAATAATTTTTGGGACTTGCTTTCAGGATAACACTCCATCTTGTTACAAATTGTAAGGAAAAGGAAGCATAGACCACACCTACTTCTGCCCCATCAGTGGCTACTGTATTTACCAAATAATCTGGCATCTTCTGATCTGCTAAATTAGCTTTAGAACAGTTTCCGTGAATTTCCTGTCTGATGGTTGGCCCTATGGTTCACCCAGATGCCTAAATCAGACCTGTAGAATTTACCCTAGATTATTTTCTTTTCTTCACCTCACCCATTCCCATAGTTGACATACTTACAGTCTCTCCAGGGCATCTCTTTGAGTAAATCCTTATTAACTGTACCCTAGTTCAGACCCTCTGTCTTCTTCCTGGAATACTAAAAATGCTTTCTAACTGTCCCTCCCCCTCATCTTGCTATACCTTCTAACACCTTCCATATTGCAGTCACAATAATATATACACAAGTATAACCTTATTCCTATTCCTCTGCCTAAAAGCTTTTGAAAATTTGCATTTTCAACATAGTGAAGTCTGAACACTTTGCTTACATCCATCATTTTTTCTTCCACCTGGGAAGTCTCTGTCCCTGGTCAGATCTTGCTCCTATGTTCTAGACTTATAGAACCTCATGGTAATTTTCTCTCATTCATCTCTTTATCATCAACAGCCAGAGGGTTGCTCAATTCAAATTTGCTAGAAGAAAGAGAAACACAGTAGTTTTCTGAGTAACTACTTAGAATAGAATTCAATACAATAGCTAACAATTTTTGAGTACAGTAATTACTATGTGCCAGACACTATTCATAAGCACTCCATATGAATTAATTCATTCACTTCTCAGAACACTATAAGGTAGTATTGTAACCATTCCATTTTTACAAATGGGAAAACTGAAGCACAGAGAGGTTAAATACCAATGCCACACTGGTTGTAGTTAACAGAACCAGGATTCAAACTGGCAGTCAGGCCCCAGAGGTGGTATTTCTAACCATTACGCTCTGCAGTCTTTTGCAGCCTTTGGGACAGATGGAATTCATGGTTAACAGAATTTTGAATCAGACACTTCACATCTCTGAACCTGATTCTCATTCAGTAATTGTGCCTGCCTCACAGAGTTCTATGAGAACTACATGAGATGATTCCTTATAGAATCATAGCATTTTACTCTGTGCTCTGCTTATTATATTGTTGCCTTCTACTTCCTCTGCCCTGGCTGTCTCTGCTCTAGTCCCTGGCCTCCTTGCATTTCCTCCAACACACCTCACAGGCTTGTGCATACCTTAGGACATTTGCATAAGATATTCCCTCCTGTCCTTCCAGATGCCCACATGGCCAGCCCTGTAGCCATCTGTAAACCTTTGCTTGGATACTGCCTCCTCAGCAAAGCCAAACCTGAGAACTGTATTTAAAATGGCAACACTACCTTCCTTTCCGGCACTACTGAGACTTCTTACCTTGCTCTGTTTTGCTCATCTTTCCAGGTCATGGGGTCATCTTCTAGCAACTATATAATTTATTTATTATGTGTTGATTGTCTGTCTCCCCTGGCTGGACTGTAAGCTCCGTATCTGGTTTATTTAGAGATTTAGCCCAACCACCTAAAACAGTGCCTCACATGGAGACGCACTCAACAAATACTAGTTTAATGAATGAAAGCTCTTTTCCATCACCTATCTTCATACATTTTAGCCCCTTCTTATCCTCCAACTTCAGTTTAGCTTCACTTTTGCAAGGAAACCTCTGACAACCCCACTCCACTCCTAGCCCAAGACTATGTAGTCCCCTGGTTATTTTTTCTCCTTAGCACTAAGTACAATTTATCAGTGTTTATGTTTGTGAGTACTTGATTAATGTGTTTATCCAGCAGGTGATAATGTCTGTGAGGATGGGAATTGTTTTGCTCATCATTTTATCCCCAGGCCAAGCACACTGGTGGGTATGTGAAAGGCCTGGAATACAAATGGATAATGAATGATTGGAGATAAAGGAATGAGTATCCCCTTATATTCAGCAGGCAGTAAATAGGTAAGGCTCATATGAACTCCACATATGAATATCTTAGAGTCATGTGATGCTTTAATTTACTTAGCAAGTTTACCTACTATGATGGATAATTTTGTGTGTCAGCTGACTGGGCCACCGTGTACCCAGATAATTGGTCAGACATCAATATTATCTGGTGTTTCTGTGAGGGTGTCCTTGGATAAGGTTAACATTGACACTAGTAGACTTGGTAAAGCGGATAGCTCTCTCTAATGTGCATGGACCTCATCCAATCAGCTAAAGGCTTGAGTAAAATAAAAAGGTTGATTTCCATGAGTAAGAGGGATGGAACTCCTCCTGATTGGCTGTTCTGAGCTGGGAAATTGGTCTTTTCTTGCCTTCAGACTCAAAATGAAATATTGGCTCTTCCTGGATCTTAAGCCTAGAGCCCATCAGACTAGTACTACACCATAAGCTCTTCTGGGTCTCCAACTTGCCGACTGGAGAGCTTTGGAATTGACAGCTTCCATTATTGTGTGAACTAATTTCTCTTTCCCCTATTGGTTCTGTTCTTCTGGAGAACCCTAAATAATACACCTCCCTTATTTGGCTTAATTCTCATCACAACTTTGAAGTACAGGAGGGATAGATGGTTTGATATAAAGTCACATATCTTCAATGTGGTCAAACCAGAAAGAGAACCCAAGTCAGAAGACTCTAGAAAGTCCTGTTTTAGCGCCCTCTTGCTAACCACTTCGGACATTTAGTAGAATTTTGTCTAATATTTGCTTTCAGAGTAAAATACCAACTGGTAGCAAGATTGTTGGATGGCTTTGTAAAGTTGTGTACTCTTCAAATGTGCCTAAAGATTTCCTTGGCATCAGATTCAAGAGCTCCCAAACCAACCCCTCCAGCCCTGTCTCAGTCCTGCCTCCATTTATCATTTTGCCCAAAATCTGCAAGAAGAAGGACAACTACTCAATTAATTGCTTCCTAGTCATTGTTGCCTATGGCTAGGAGCTATCAATTAAGAATATAAGTATATACAATTTTAATTTAATGATACATAAAAATACAAATCATATTTCAAGAGTCACTGAAGGCACAAGTAAGAAAAAGAAGTATGTGTAACTCCATAATTCAAATTTAACATTGGAAATGTAAAATGTATAATGGATTTTAAAACCAAATCTGTTGAACTCTGTTACCTGTGAGACCAACAAAAATCTCACCTCTTTTGTGAAGCCTTAGCAATCTGGTCCCCAAAGAAGCAATTTCTTTTGACTCTGCATCCTTTTCTCTGTAGAAAAATGTCATTCTCATATCAATTATCATACACAATTGCAATTATTTCTTTACATGTTCTTCTTTCCCCTAGACTGAGAGTTTTGCATTTGTTTTGTTTTGCTGAAAGAAGGGCAGTGTTATCCTAGTAGCTCAAGTCTTGAGCATAGTGCCTACCATCTTCTAGTTGCTCTATAAAGTTTCATGTGCGCCTCCCAATTTCCCCACCCTCACCAAACCAGACACTCCTCTTTTTTCAAGGAATGTTCAGAGAGAGAAAACAAAAGAATATATATCCATTAGCCAGAATATTTTCTGACATCAAGCTGTCACCACTTTAACCAAAAATAACTAGACATTTGTCACTTTTTTCTAGTTGCCTTGATGGTGTTGGAGTGAAGGGGACATAGCTCTTTAGACCTTTTATTGGATAAATGAGAGGAGAAAAGTGCTTACCAAGGTGCAACAACCAAAGCTTATGCTAAAAACTTAAGCTAATGTTGTTCAGGAAGAAAAAATTTCTGATGAATTTCTGCTGCTTAATTCACACACAGAGAAATAAAGAACAGCAGCCACTCTACTTAGCAAGCGGTTCCTCCAGCAACAGGATTTACACCTGGACATAAACATGTTCACTCAAGTTGGGATGAACATTTCCTAAGGCAAACACTTTTTGAAAAATTGTAAAGCTAATGATCTTGCACTGACAGCATAACCTTGAGCTTGTTGCCAAATAGAACGCCAAGAGTAAACATTTAATGAAAGGAAAAAAAGCTGCAGTAATGATCCTTCTTGTGACCCCAAGCTCAGTGACTCCAAGTGTTTTTGAAAAGTTCAGTGAAGACATTTTTCTATTTGCTGGTACTTTTTCATACAGTTTTATGTATTTTATGATCTAACTTCATATGGATGAGATGCATTTCATCAATTAGAGCAAGATGCAACAATTGCACCTCTTCCTCTAATTTCTTATCCCCAGAAGAGGAAATAATCAGCCCTGAACTTTAGTAGGGGTCAGTCATTATTTTGAAATATTGGTAAGGGCCGTAGGTAAAAATCCTTAAGGCTTATTCTGTGGATAGGGGACATCTGTGTAATTTATCATATGTGGGGGTGGGGAACTGCAGCCATGTGTTGGTTGATGAGAACACAATAAACTTCTCATTTTTTAAAATCCCAGTAAATAAACCTCTCTATTAATTGGAGAATGGCCTTGTGAAAGAAACACAGGACATAGAATAAAAGCGCTTGGGTATCAATCCTGTTATCCAACCTCAAAAAAGTTAAATTATCACTCTGAACTTCCAATTACCTTATCTCAAAAAAAAGATGGATGGTAATTTAGGGTTATATGATTGTTATAAGGATAAAATGGGATAATATATGTGTAACTGGCTGGTACAGTGCCTGGAACAAAGGGCTCAATATATATTATTAGGTAAATATGAACTAATAGAAAGTATCTATACTTTAAATTAAATATATCTATATTGTACTATTTTTTTCTATATTTTTGCCCCCTCAAAATCCAATTTCTCCCTCACATCACATTTTTAAAATCCAATTTCCCCAAAATCCAATTTCCCCCAATCCAATTTCTCCCTCACACTCATCAAAATGGACAATTTATTACATATATGCAATGGGGAGTTGTATATATGTAATAAATTGTCCATTTTGATGAGTATAGAAGCCAAATAAAGACATACACCCTCTACTTACTTCAGAGAAACCAGGACCAGGTATATAATTATATAATATATTTTACTTATTTATCATATTTATTTTTATCATATTTCTTTTCTCCAATACTATAAGCTTCATAAAGACAGGCATTTTAATCTATTTTGTTAATTACTATATTTTCAGCATCTAGAACACTGCCTGACACTAAAAGAGATAATCAAGAATATATGTTGAATAAATTTGATACTGCTCTCCAAAATATTGAGTTGTGAACAAAAAATGCAAAAATTAAGAGAGAGTTCAAATTCACTCTAGCTGGCAGACAATAATAGTTGAGATGCATGCTGGCAGAACCATTGAGTACTATGAGATGAAGCATCATGCCAGGGTCTTCCTGTCTTTTAGACTCCAGAGCCCTCTTGATTCCTGCTTGTTTCCCAAAACTGCTTTTGCAGATTCCCCCAAATCTTGGAAGCTACCTGACACTCTTTGTATATGTTCATTTATTTCTTTAAACAAATCTGGTTTCTCTTTTTGCAACTATGTGGCTGATGCTGAATTGATGCTTGTTCAGTGCCTGTAGAAGAGAGTAACTGCTAAACTCAGAGCTAGTGGGAACATTATGACAGATGCAGTCTCATTTTGAAGGGGTCACATATGGCTTGAGCTAACCACCTATAGGCTTAAACATCAACTAAACAACTGGAAAGGCAATTAGATGCATTAAAATCATACTTCTTCTGCTGTAATAACCGTAAGTTCAACAATCACATAAACATCACTGGAGACACCTGTGAGCAATTCCTTGATCAGAGATAATCCTTGTCTTTAAAATGGTGAGATTGGAAAAGGCAAAAAAACTTTTCATGTCATAAAAAATACTAACAAATGAGAAAATGATTTAAATTTCTGCTCTTTAAAATATAATTTTAAGAAAATGAAAAGGCAAGCAACAATGGGAGAAAGTATTTGCAATTTCTAACAAAGGACTTATATCCAGAATATATAAAGAACAGATACATGTATATAATTATGAATTTATGTCAATATAAAGAATATATAAAGGACTCTTACAACTCAATAAAAAGAAGACAAAAAAGCCAATTGTAAATATGGGCAAAAGTCTTGCATAGTACTTTTACCAAAGAAGACATACGAATGCCACTAAGTACATGAAAATGTCATAAAGTCATCAGGGAAATGCAAAATAAATTCTCATACCTTGCTAGTAGGCTTGCAAATTATACAGTCACTTTCAAAAACATGTTATCAAGTTTTATAAAGATATTATTTTAAAGCTCACTGCTTCTACTCTTAGGTATGCACCCCAAATAAATAAAAGTATGTGTCTACAAAAGGCATACACAAAAATGTTCACTGCAGCTGTATTCAACATAGTCCAAGCTGAAAACAACCAAATGGTTTACTAACAGGTAAATGGATACACAAATTGTAGTGTATCTATGTGGTGGAATACTACCCAGCAATAAAAATGGAACTACTGATACTAAATCAACATGGATAAATTTCAAAACATTATGCTGAGTAAAATAAACCAAACGCAAAAGAGTTTGTGCTATACAATTCATTCTAGTCCTAGAATCAGCAAAACTAATCTGTAGTGATGGAAATGGGATTTTGGTTACCTGATGCAGGAATCAGTAGGGCAAGAATGGGCTGACTGCAAAAACCATGGCAGAAATCTCTGTGGTGGTGGAAATAATGGATAACTTGACTGGGTTAGTGATTAGACGAAGTATATATTTGTCAAGCTCCTAAAATGTAAACTTGGAATGTGTGTGCTTTATTATATGTAAATAATACCCATCTCAATAAAATTGATAAAGAAGCAGATAGATTGTTTGAATACAAAAAGCATGAGGCAGAATGTGGTAGAAGCTACTCAATGACTGATAGAAATTTACATGGAAATGGAGGGAAGAAATTATTTTCATCTGGGGAAGTCTGCAAAAGCCTCATGGGAGACATGGTGTTTGAGCAGAGGCTCAGGTCTGGATGGCATTTCAATATTAGATGATGGAAAGAGCACAGAGTGTGTATAGGGGATAACAAAGAATCAAGTATGGCTGGGGTGCATCCTAAATTCCTTAGTCGATTCAGCAAATATTTTACTGATAGCCTGCTAGAAGTAGGCACTCCCTTAAGAGATAAAATGAAGTACCTGTTTTCGTGGCTCTTATATTCTAATGTGGAGAGACATATGTGAAATAAACATAAAATATCAGCTAGTGCACTATAAAGCTGGGCAAAGGGGAGAGAACATACAGGGATGGGTGTGGGATATCTCTGTTAGATAAGGTAGCCAGCAAAGTTCTCTCTGAGAGGGTGACATTTGAGCAGAATCAGGAATAAAGTAAGACAAAGCACTGCAGATATCTGGAGAAAGTACATTTCAGATGAAGGAAAAGCACAAGCCTTGAAGAGGGAGCATGACTAGCGTATTTGGGGAACTGCAGTGAGCAAGGGAGGATGTAGTGGCTCCAGAACAGGAACAAAGAGAAGGCAACACATCTGGAAAGTAGTGGGGATTGTAGGGGAAGGCAGAGCTCATAGGGTGGTGCTTCTTATTAGCATGTAACATGAACCACCTGGGGATCTTATTCATCTGCAAAGTTGACTCAGCCGATCTGGGAGTAGGGCCTGAGATTTTGCATTTCTAACAAGCTCACAGGCAATGTAATGCTTGCTGTGACACTTTTTATGTAGACAAATTGTAAGGCCTTGGAGGATACCTTAAGGATTAGCATCATCTGCCAGCTCTGTCTAGGGTAGCAAGGCAGAGTAGGGGAAAACGGGAGGCTATCGAAATACGTTCAAGAGATTATAGTGGTTTGGACTAGGATGGCTATGGAGGAGGCAACAAGAAAACGTTAAAATTTTGATATATTTTAAAAATGAAGCTGAGTGGGCTTTTCCAACAAATTAAATTTGCCACATGAGAGTAAGAGAGAGGTCAAGAATTACACCAAGGATTTGATTCTAGCAAGTGAAATAGTATATGAGTCTATAGTTCAGGGAAAAGCTCCAAGGTTGGGATATAAATTTAGGAGCAGTGAGGGTATGGATGGTACTTGTTGCCATGGAATGAGGTGAGATCACAAACTCAGTGTAGAGAGGAGATGTCCTAACACTGACCCTGGGTGAACTCTGAAATTTAGGAGATTAGGTGGAACCAGTAAAGGAGACTGAGGATAAGTGGCCAGTGAGGTGTGTGAATCAAGTACATGGTGTCCCAGATGCAAAATCATGATAGTTTTTCAAGAAAAGAGTGATCATTGTGTGGAATCTACCAATAAGTTGATGAAGATGGACCTGAGAATGCTCAATGGATTTGGCAAGGTAGGGAGGGACCACTGGTGACCTTGACAAGTACTGTTT